>NC_000001.11:246335636-246487151 GCF_000001405.40 Homo sapiens
TGAGTCTTTGCCAAATATGCAATTACTATGCAAGGACATTAAAAGCCTCAGCTTCACCTCTGTGCTTTCATTTGTCCCCTGGTTATTACCTGGCTAGTGGAGTCCAAAGAAAGAGCCATTACAGCTTACTTAATAATGTATAAGATGGTCTTGGAACTGATTAAACAGGATTCAACAATAGTCATTTTGAATACAAAAGGAAAATGTCACTCCAAATTAGAAAATAAAACGTGGTTCAGAAGACTCAAAATAGGGATGACAGCCTTCTGAATTTCTGTGCTGCTACAGAAATATCAGGAGGGCTAACACACCCCCAAATATAAAATCTCTTTGTTTTAAAAGCAACATAAAAAGAACTATTAGCTAAAATCATTAAATGTCCAGTTTGTCCTGGATGTGTCTAGGTTTGTATCTATGTCCTGGCTTAAATATTAATAGTGCCCCTTTTCACTCTGAAAAGTTCTGGTTTTGATGACAAATTATATGGTCACCTAAGCCATGATCCTAGCCATGTGTTGATGTGGCTAAAGAGACCATTGAGTCAGTTGCCAATGTACAGATGAATGGACTAAAGGGAAGGACACTATCCTTGAGCCTTGGATCAGAAAGGCGACGGCTCCTTTCACACGGAATCACTTTCATATGGAAATAAAATCCAGATCATCTAATATTTAGCCCTGGTGAGTAGAAGAAGCCTCAATCAAATGTCTCTCGTGTTATATTCTGAAAATTGGAATTTCCATTACTGAAATGCCTGATACCACTTACTCATTCTTATTTCAAAAATTATAAATCTGCTCCTCAATTTCTGGGTCTACAAAATCAATGTGCTGTTCATAATTTTTGTTTTAGCATTTACACTTCACTCACTTCTAAACAAGACTGAGCTGATTCAAAGTAAAGATGTGTATGAAATAAGACTGCAAAACCAGAAACAGAACATATTAAAATTATGGAAGGGGGAAAAAGGAAAGCACGCTAGCATTTACTTAGCATTCTACAAGGTACTAGATACATGGCTAAGCAAATAACGAAGCACGTTTCACTTGATTTTCGTAACAATCCAAATGGTAGGTATTATCCCTCTATTACAAATAAAGGCTCAAAAGCTGATATCTAACTATCAAACTGCCCAAATACAAAAAGAGAGAGTAAAAATTCTTAGCATGCTAAACATGAGAGCTGAATAATTTCTGCATTACATTTGAGTATTTGTACGTCACATTTATTTGAGATGCCTTACAAGCAAGGCAAAAAAGAAGGCATAATGGCTTATATAATCCTCAACTGACAGAAAGTAAAAACATACAGTTTCACCAAGTATTAAATCACAGGAGGGATTTATTCCAAGAATGCTAATCAACACACTGAACAATGTCCTTAACAACAGTTCACAACTATAATGGCCTTTCATATGACTTCTAATATCAGTACTCACTGAAAGGCATAATATTAAAATACAACTCAGTGAAAGAACAAGCTTCTGTTGCTCAGGGGGCTAGTCCTTGACTAGCAATTAGCAATTACCAATGTGTGTAAGAGGCCTAAAATATACATGGTACAATTGTCAAGTAAGTTTTAAAAACACAATATCATGTTGACCCTACTTAGAGATTCAAAATATACTTAGCATCCTAAAAGTTCTAAAAGTCTATGCACTAAAGAAATGTGTATAAATTATTTAACACAGTTTCCCATGCTTGTTATTGTCACCCTTTAGAGAGTTAGGTTGGTATTCACTAACTCAGATATATCTATATATTTTTTTTCACCTGGTCTTTGTATGTGAGTGGGTTAAGCTAACAAATTTACATTCATTTGCACTCACAAGAAACAAGAATGTTAACTTTTTTGGTTTTTTACTGATAGAAGGGAGAACCATAACTTTGGCGTTAGTTTTCCTTTGATTATAGAAGTTGAGAAACCTGTCAGATGCTCTCATGGACAGAGCGTGTAGGCAGGAACGGATAACATAGTGCCAGTGGGTCTATCAGAAAGTACCTTAGGCTCTGTTCAAATGCCTCAGTGTCCAGCTGAACAGGGCTCACACTCAGCAAAACAAGGCAGAGATAATTTGAGGCAAAAGACCTTAAGAGCAGATTTTAATCAATGCTCATTTTAATTACAAGAGATCATCCATAACCCCTCTGTTAAAACCTAAATATTTGAGCAGCTCAGCCTCCTGATAGCTTACCAGGGTGAGATAAGTACAAAACGTACACCAGATAATGAACAACCGATCAGTTAGATGACAGCATTTGGAATTAAACATCCAAATTTTGGAAAATTCCTGTTAAAACAACTTTAGGTCCTTAACATAATTGATATAGAGCTCCTTTTCTCAACAATAACTAGAAACTAGACAAAATGTTTCTTAAACTTATTCCTAGATCATTGCCTGAAAACATACTTATTTTCTCATTTGCTTCAGCAAAAATATGTTCATTATTTCCATGAAAAGCCAAATCAGATCATTTAGGCATAAATAGAGAAAGCAATCATACCACTTAAAATTGGTCTGTAATATGGTACCACATATCAGCCCATTCCTTTTCTTTTTAAAACATTAACTGTTAAAATTTATCATTCAGCTTCACCTATCACATCTTACCATAAGGGTTACGAATACAAGCATACCATAGAAAAGGCTTACAAAGAAATCTTTTTACGCAGCTCCTTTGACTTTGAAGCAAAACGTGACAATCATACAAAAACAAAAGGCATTATCTTCACTCAACAAACTAACCTTGGTCAAGACCTCGATGACACATTTGTCATATATATTTGCCAATTTCTCAAAAGACAACCTTCCTGATTTACATTTTTTCCTATTTTCTTACATTACTTCCAATACAGGATATAATTAAGATTTTGCTCATAACATTGGCTGTAGTATTTTCTTTTGTCATAGCTGAAAATTAACAATGATGTACAATAAGCATGAACTGGCTTGAGAGACAAAGGAAATTAAAATACTACATTAAGAAGTAAAAACAAAAGGAGACAAGAGTTTCATGCTGGAAAAAAAGGAAATGACATCTATAACACAATTCTTTCAGTGCATGCATGACTCAAAAAACAACTTCAGAATCTATACAGTTTCATAATGTATTTTTATAGTATTTATAACAGTTCACGACATAAACTCATTAACCACACCAGTAGTTCTCAATGGGAGTGACGCCTATCTTGAGGGTTGTTTGAGAAATTTATGCGGGTATTTTTATTTGTCACAAGGTTTATGGAAAATTACAGGCACTTAATGAGCAGGAACCAAAGGAGCCAGACATTCTGTGTCGGACAGTTCTCCACAATGAAGAATTATCCAAATCCAATGCAACTTTCAAGTGTCCAACCAAATTCCATGACGGTGGAAAACTTGTTTATAATTGTCTGAGCCTAGAACTAAATCTCCTTTTACATTTAAAAACAAAGAGCTCGTTTTTACATAATCCTAACAGCACTGAATTTTCTAGGTAAATCAAAGGAAGACTGTATTTTAAGAATTTTACCTAAATTACTCAATTAAAGCCATATCACTGAAGGCAACACCACTTAGAGTACTTGAGTTACCAATACAACACGGCTTCTGACCCGCATCTCTACTTCCCTTCTCACAGTGACTCTATGTATAGGTGCAAATATGTGACTAATGATGTCTTCCAGTCTAATACCTCAGCATTTATATACTAAAATACATATTATTTTATCATAGGTTTTAATTTTCTTTTTCCTTATATTCCAATTATGGCATTATATTAATGTTTTGAAAATATGTAACTAGGTATATTGCACTACCTGTAAAATTTCATTTCAAGATAGTAGAGAGGGCAATAAAAATAGTTCTCACAAAAATGGGGAGTTGGGTCTGAAAAGAACTGAGAAGCCCAGATCTAAAAAAATGCTACACAGTTACACATGCCACACACATACACAAGAATATATTTTTAAACACATAGCCTAACACCCACCCTAGGGATTCTGACACTACCCATGAGACAGAATCAAGCATCCCACTGCAGGGCTGCTATGGTTTCAATGTGTACCTCAAAGTTCATGTGCTGGAAACGTAATCCCCAGTGCAACATGTTGAGAGGTGGGGTCGTTCAGTAGCACAGCGCTCACGAACGGATTCATGTCACTATTGCAACAGTGGGTTTGCTATAAAAGAGAGTCCGGCCCTCTCTTGTTCCCTCTCAGGAGCACGCTCCCGTCATGTGACGCCTTCTGCCATGCTAGGATGCAGCAAGAAGGCCCTTACAGATGTAATCCCTCAACCTTGGACTTCCCGGCCTCCAGAAACACCAGCCAAATAAACTTCTATTGTTTATGAATGACCCAGTCTGCGGCACTCTGTTAATAGCAGCACAAAAACAGATCAAGACAAGGGCATTCCATGAGTAGCTAAAGTTGAAAAACCACTGAGTTAAACTAAATTACAAAGGAGGTCGTTATATATACTAAATAGATGAAACAAAATACAATTCTATAATTATCATTGAACTATTGTTCTATAGAAATAAATATTGTATAATATTAAGGTGGAAAAAGTGTTTTAAACAGAACATAAAATGTAAAAACCATAAAGGAAAATAAATATATATTCAATTACATAACAATAAAGAATTTTTGTCTTGGGGGAAGAAAACCAGAAACAAGGTTTAAAGGTAATAAACCATGAAACAGTCTAAAATACATATATAGACACAGTGTTAAATGTCTCCAATATACAAAAAGGCCTTACAAATAACTTTTGAATATTTCAAAAAATATAAATAAAGGTAAAGGAAATGAATAGGAAATTCATGACTGAAAAAGAAAAACCAATAGACAACTAATACAAACCACACCAGTGCTCAAAGACATGATAACAGAAACTAGATAACATAGTGTCCCATTAATTTGGCAAAAATGAATAAAACTGGCAGTATTTAGAAGCATCTAGGATTTGGGGAAATAGGCATTTTCCAGCCTTGTTAGTAGAGTTGTAGGCTGCTCTGATCTTTCTGATGGGTATTTGGTAATGAATATCAAAATTGTAATGTGCATATTGTTGACACAGAAATATTATTCATAAAGTAATTTATTTTAAAAAATTTAAATAGTATAAAGAAATAAATTTAAGAATGTTCCACCCTAAGCAACATAGGGAAATCCCATCTCTATAAAAAAAAATTTTTTTTAGTTAGCCAGACATGATGGCATGCACCTGTATTCCCAGCCACACCAGAGGCTAAGAGGAGAGGATCACTCCCAGCTATGCTGGAGGCTAAGATGGGAGGTCGAGACTACAGTGAGCCATGGTCACACCACTGCATTCCAGTCTGTGTGACAGAGTGAGACCCCAGGTCTCAGGGGGAAAAAAAAAAGAATGCTCACAATAGAAGATGATTAAAATACTGAAAGTTAACTTTTCCAGCTTTTCCTAAAAGAAATTGCTATTTTTGTCTTTCTCTTTATAGCTTTCCATTACTATTTAAATTTTCTACAAAGAGCATGGAGTTTATGAATAAAAACAAATATAATTTTATGTGTAGTAACTGAGAATCAGGGAGAAGTACTTTTATACGAAAGGGACAGCAAAATTACTGTTTAATAGGCACTGGTGCTTCTTAACTTTTTAATGTTTATTTTGGAAATCTAGTTGCAACTCAAAGCATGATTTAAATGTGTTAATTTTTAAATGTTAAAAAATGCTTCAGTGAACTGTTCTGTAATGCTGATGCAATCTTTTTTAATTCAGAGATTCACTCAGTAAATTCTTTTATTAGTTTGGCTATATTCATGTCTGTTTTTCTTAAATGAGTATAGTACCAATTAAGTACACCTTGCATGAAACAGGTGTTCAATACATATTTTATGATTTATTCTAAAACCAGTACCATTCAGGGGGTAAAATTTACTATATATTATCATTATTTGAAATTAAGGCCATACAAAAAGAAGAAATGAAAGTAGACTCTCACAATTCTTTCTTTGACCAATAAGAGATGGTCTTGATTACATGATTATGAAAGGAGTGTATTGATGAGATGTTACACTAATAAGAGAAAATCAATTTATTTCTTTCTTACGCAAAATAACATTTGCACTATTATCATATTTCCCTCTCCTCTTTACATACAAAGTCCCTATTGCTCACTCAAGAACCCATTTAAATGCTGTTAAACACCAAGTTTTGGTTGGAGTGGATATCCATTTTAGGGTAGCTCATTATTGTTTGGGATAGAGTGTAAGAAGGGTCATCCTGTATTGAACCTTGGATTGGGTAAAATACATCCAATTCATGACATCAGCTCACTAGGTATTTATTCCATAAGAAGATTAGATTCAAAGATCTGCAAGGCAGTCTTCCAATGATAAAATTCTGAGTCTGTAACATCCATTCCTAACAAATATCTGAATTATGTCAAAATAGGTTTGAAACCTGCTTGGGTTAGGCTTACAATCATTGAAAATTTGCAACAGTATTTTCCTCAGCTATTTGGTCATTAAGGATGAAGAAGCTGTCTTTAAAAATATAGAAAAGAAAATGAATTTTTTGAGCCCACTTATTCAACAGTTTCATATAATATTAACTAAACATCTTCTACGTGAAATATCACAGTGATTTTTTTCCTACATATTCAGGACTTACTCCACTCACAAACAATCATCTACAGAGGTTTCCTATGGGCAAAACTTAGGATAGTTGAGCTGCCACGCAACTTGCAGGAAATAAAAGATACTCGACAGTTTTCCATTTACATCCAGTTTGCTTGATAGCAAATAAATAATGCCTCCTCCTTTATCCTTGAAATGTAGTCCAATATTGAATTACAGATTGTCAGATGCAGGCAGATCTGAAAAGCTGGAATCTGGGAAAAGAAAACTGGAAGGCTAAGCAGGTTGTCTAACAGCTACAGTTGACTGACAGGTATTGATTAAGATCTTGCAAAAAAATCTCTTTAGAGCACACTAGAGATTAGTGATAGATATGAGACTTCTCACTTTAAAAGCTTACTGAATGCTGTATCAAATGTAGAGCAAGAGCATCTTCTCACTAGTCTTAATCAAATTAGATGAATAGAGCTAAATATAAAGAAGGAATGTGCCATGAAAATGGTCTTAGGGCATAAGGTTGACAAGAGGAAAAAAAGAACGTGAATAAATGACCATTTCTTGGGCAAATGGGAATTACGGTCTCCTGTTAAGTGAGGAACCTATAATATGAGACAATAATAACAACAGTGCCCCCAAAGTAAGTCAATCATCATCTACTGCAGGGTTCCAAAAATATATGGCTCATAGGTAAAATTCATTTTACATTTTTACATTTATGTAAAATTCAAATTCATGTACGTTCTAATTCGTGCTACATTTTTAGTAAAATTGTACATTACAGGGATAGAGCCACACTTATTAGTTACATTCATTCATTTCATGCTACATCAGAGTTGAACACATACGACAAAAATCATATGGCCACAAAGCCTAAAATATTTACTATATAGTTCTTTACAGAAATTAGCCAATGCTTGATCTAATGAGAGATCATATGAAGACGAAATGACTTAATTGATAGTTTGGCTGGAAAGCAAAATAAATCATGCACTTCCACAGACTTCCAATCTTATTTGGAAAAAGCATCTATCCTAGATTAATCAAAATATCAACACCAGCTTCTAGCTGAATACGGTAGGTGAGCACATGTATTTTATTTCCTCAAAACAAGTAATTATCAAATTTTTTACTCCCAAAGTGAACTGGAACAGCCATCAATGGATGAGTGGCAGGGAAGGATGTGGTTAGCCCCATTTGAGAGTGAAAAAGTGGTGGTAAGAGGACAGGCTGCAGAAGCAGGGTCAAAGAGGCCACATGTAGGGACAGTCCCATCTGAGAGGGAAGGTCAGCCTGCCAAGCAGAATTCCAGAAAGGATCTAGAATCAAAGACTATACATTGGTAGAATGGAATTGAAAAATAGATGAGAAAGAGAAAATTAACCACAAGTCTGTATGCCAAAGAGTCTCAAAACACCCCTTCTCTACTTTTGGCTTGATTGAGTAAGCAATGGAAGGTTAATGTACAGAATCTTGTTGAATTTGATGCTAAGATTATCTCTGATCCAGATTATTGCTATAGCCTCCTATTTGGTCTTCCTGCCCTGACTCTTACCCTTCTACAACGGCTTCTTCAAACAATAGTCTAATTCTTTGAGTGGCTTAAAAATTGTGATCACTGTATTACAGAAAAAGAAATAAAATCTATGCATACTTAATAGCTCTGTGGTGACCAATATGTTTCAAACTACTTACTTGAAATATAATTTACATTATTAAATTATATTTAGGTTGGTGCAAAAGTAATTACTTTTAATGGCAAAAACCACAGTTACGTATAATAAAATGTATCCATTTTAACAGTATAGTTTGATAAATTTTTGTTTTTTTGAGATGGGGTCTTGCTATATTGTCCAGGCTGGTCTCTAACTCATGAGTTCAAACAATCCTCCCACCTTAGCCTCCCAAAGTGCTGGGATTACATGCACGTGCCACCACACCCAGCTTTGATAAGTTATGACACATATATCTCCATATAACCAACACCAAAATTAAGCTACAGATGTTAGTACTCCCCAAAAGTTCCCTTGTGCCCCTTACATTCAAGTCCTCCATCCCAGGCAACTCAGTGGTTTTGTCTCTATAATTGTAAGATCAGTTTTGTCTAGCCTAGAACAGTCTTACTTCTTTTCATCTGGCTTCATTCCCTCAGTACAGTGTTTTGAGATTCACTAACGTTGCGGCATGCATCAGTAGTTTGTTCCTCTTAATGGACAAGTAATAGTACAGTATGCATCTCTTTATTCATTTACCTGTGGATGAATATTTCACTTGTTTCCAGGTTTGGAACATTGAACATTTATGTACAAGTTGTTTTTGTAGATGTAAGTTTTCATAACTCTTAGGTAAATAACTAGGAGCAGAACTGCTGGGTCATACAGTAAGTACACCTTTAACATTATTACAAACTACTAAACTTTCCCAAAACAATGATAACGCTTTACTTTCTCACCACCAGTGAACAAGAGTTCCAGTTGCTCCATCACCTTGCCAGCACTTGACAAAGTCAGTCCTTTTAATTTTAGTCTTTCTAGTGGGTGTGTAGTAATATCTCATTATGGTTTTAATTTTCATTTATCTGGTGACCAGTGACAATGATTATCTTTTAATGTATATCTTCTTAAAGTATCTATTCAAATCTTTTACCTGTTTTACTCAGTTTTCTTACTACTGAATTATAAGTATTCTTTATAAATTCTGGAAACAACTTCTTGGTTGGGGTGAGAGAGAGAGAAGGAGGGAGAGAAAGAGAAAAGGAGGGAAACAGGGGGAAAGAGAGGTCTCAAATATTTTCTCCATGTCTGTAGTTTGTCTTTCCAAGGAGCTGAAGGGTTTAATTTTGATGAAAATCAATTTATCAATTTTTCTTGGAGGCTTAGTGCTTTCTGTGTTCTACATAGGAAATTTTATGTACCCCATATCCAAAGAGTTTCTCCTATGTTTTCTCGGTTTTATAGTTTTAGCCTTTAAGTTTAAGCTTATTGAACCTAAATCTTATTAAATCTAGTGAAGAATTGTTTTTACTTTTATCATTTATTTTCCATGTGCATATTAGCACAATTTTTTGAAAAGATCATCCTTTCATTATTGAATTATGTTGGCACCTTTGTTGAAAATCAACTGGCCATATATGTGTAGGGCTATAGTTTTTATATTTTTATTTCTGAATACAGGTTGAGTATGCCTTATTTGAAATACCTGGGACCAGAAGTGCTTCAGGTTTTGGATTTCTTTGGATTTTGAAATGTTTGCGTTATACTTACTGGCTGAACCATCCCAAACCTAAAAATCCAAAATCCAAAATACTCCAATGAGCATTTCCTTTGGGTATCATGCTGGTGCTTAAAATGTTTTGGATTTTGGAGCGCTGCAGATTTTTTGATTTGGGATGCTCAACTTGTATTATGATGTGTTGACATTTTAAAAACCTTTCTGACTAAGGAGAAGACTGCTCCTGCTCCTCCCAGGGACAGCCAATTCTAAGAAATAGCAAAAAGCTCAATCCTGAGCATGCCTTTGATAGGCAAACTAAATGATCCACAGCCATACATCCTCTGTCTGGCCCTAACACCCTAAGAGGCAATATTCTTCTGCCTTAATCATCCCAGGGCCAGGTACCAGGCAAACAGAGACCACCCTTAAACCCCAGGATCCCCTGATATTACTCAAACTAGCCAATCCTAAACTGAGAAACACCTATGAATGCCACAGTCCAGGGACAAAGGCTCACCAAAAACCCAAGACCTAATCATAGAACTATAGAACTGGCCGGGCACAGTGGCTCACGCCTGTAATCCCAGCACTGTGGGAGGCCAAGGGGGGTGGATCAAGAGGTCAGGAGATCGAGACCATCCTGGCTAACACGGTAACACCCCATCTCTACTAAAAATACAAAAAATTAGCCGGGCGTGGTGGCGGGCACCTGTAGTCCCAGCTCCTCGGGAGGCTGAGGCAGGAGAATGGCGTGAATCCGGGAGGCGGAGCTTGCAGTGAGCCGAGACGTTCTACTGCACTCCAGTCTGGGCGACAGAGTGAGACTCTGTCTCAAAAAAAACAAACAAACTAAAAAAGAACTACAGAACAGTTCCTCTCCTCTTACATCTTGCCATCACACTACTAAAGGCCTATTTACAGTGGTTCCTTTTACATCACGTCTAGCTATCAAGAAAAAACTATAAGACATACTGTATTAGTACATTCTTATGCTGCTATGAAAAAATACTCAATACTGGGTAATTTATAAAGGAAGACGTTTAATTGACTCACAGTTCCACAGGGCTGTGGAGGAAACTTATAATCGTAGTGGAAGGGGAAGCAAACACATCCTTCTTCATATGGCAGCAGGATGGAGAAGTGCCCAGCAAAGCAGGAAGCCCCTTATAAAACCATCCAATCTTGTGAGAACTAACTCACTATCAAGAGAACAGGATGGGGGATACTGCCCCCACGATTCAATTATCTCCACCTGGTCCTGGTCCCTACCGCGACACATGGGGATTATGGGAACCACAATTCAAGAGGAGATCTGGGTGGGGACACAACCAAACTATGTCACATACTAAAAGGCAAAAAAACATAGTTTGAAGAGACAGAGCGAGCATTAGTACCAGACTCAGATATGGCAAGGATGTTGGAATTATCAGACTAGGAATTTTAAAAAACTATAATTAATATGCTAAGGATTCCAGTGGAAAAGGAGACAGCATGCAAGAACAGACAGGGGATATAGGCATAGAAACAGAAATTCTAAAAACCAAGAAGAACTGCTAGATCAAAAACACCAACAAAAATAAAGAATGCCTTTGATATCTTATTGGCAGACTGGACGTAGCTGGAGAGAAGAATCTCTGAGCTGAAATTATCTCAATATGGTAACCACCAACATTAAGAAGCAAAGACAAAAAAAGACTTTATAAAAAAAAAACAGAATATCCAAGAACTGTGGAATGATTATATAAAGGTATAAGATATGTGTAATAGGATATGTCAGAAGAAGAATAAAGAGAGAATGGAACAGAAGAAATACTTGAAGTAATAATGACTGAGAAGTTCTCCCAGATTAATGCCAGGCACCAAACCACAGATCCAGGAAACTCAGAGAACACCAAGAAGGATAAAAGTCCAAAAATCTATACTTAGGCATGTCATTTTCAAACTACAGAAAATCAAAAGTTTTTTAAAATACTGAGAGAAGCCAGATTTTTATAGCTAAAGATAAGTATATGTCTGTTTTAGGTGTTTATAGATACTGAAATGGTTTCAGTAATATGTCATTTTCTGAAAATCTCAAAACACTTGAAAGGTGTGTGCAATGGTTTGAAGGTCTGTACCCTCCAAAACTCATGTTGAACTTTAATTACCATTATATCAGTGTTAAGAGGTGGGACCATTAAGAGGTGACTCAGCCATGAAGGCTCTGTCCTCATGGGCAGGATTAATTCCAGTATTTGATGCCCTCTTGTCTCCTGGCCCTTCCACCATGTGATGTCACAGCAAGAAGGCCCTCACTACATATAGCCATCTTAATATAGAACTTCCAGGCCTCCAGAAATGTGAGTCAACAAATTTCCGCTCTTCACTTATACACTGATGGTGGGAATGTAAATTAGTTCAGCCACTGTGGAGACAGTTTGGAGACTTGAACTAAGTCTTGAACTACCATGTGACCCAGCAATTCCATTACTGGGTATATACCCAAAGGAAGATAAGTCATTCTACCAAAAAGACACATGTACCCATATGTCTCTCCCTGCGCTGTTCACAATAGCAAAGACAGGGAATCAATCTAGGTGCCCATCATTGGTGGACTGAATAAAGAAAACGTTATATATATATATATATACACACACACCATCAAATACTATGAAGCCATAAAAAAGAATAAAATCATGCCCTTGGGCCGGGCGCATTGGCTCATGCCTGTAATCCCAGCACTTTGGGAGGCCAAGGCAGGTGGATTGCCTGAGGTCAGCAGTTCGAGACCAGCCTGGCCAACATGGTGAAACCCTGTCTCTACTAAAAATACAAAAATTAGCCAGACATGGTGGCAGGTGCCTGTAATCCCAGCTACTCAGGAGGCTGAGGCACGAGAATTACTTGAGCGTGGAAGGCAGAGGTTTTAGTGAGCCTAGATCGTGCCACTGCACTCCAGCCTGGGTGCCAGAGCAAGACTCTGTCTCGGAAAAAAAAATATATATATATATGTCTTTTGCAACAAAATGGATGCAGCTGGAGGCCATTATCCTAAGCAAAGTAGCACAGAAACAGGAAATCAAATACAGTATGTTCTCACTTACAAGTGGGAGCTAAAATTGGGTACACAAGTGTATAAATATGGGAACAACAGACATTGGAGAATATAAGGAAGGGGAAGGAGGAGGAGGTGCAAGGGTTGAAAAACTACCTTTTGAGTACTATGCTTACTTTTTGGGTGACAGGTTCAATCATACTCGAAACCTCAGGATCACACAGTATACCTTTGTAGAAAACCCGCACATGTACCCCCAGAATCTAAAATAAATGTTGAAAACAAATTAAATAAATTTGAAACAATAAAAATAAATTTTTTTCTTTATAAATTACTCAGTGTCAGTTATTCTATTATAGCAGCACAAAACAGACTAAAATAAACAACTTACATATAGAGGAACAAAGAATCATAGCCAACTTCTCAGAAACCATGTACAAGAGAGTGGAATGAAATAAAGTACTGAGAGAAAAAAAAATTACTAATCTAGAATTCTGTACCCTGTGGAATTACCCTTCAAAAGTGAAGGGAAAATAAAGACTTTTTCAGGAAAACAAAAGTTGAGGAAATGTATTGCCAGTAGACCCACCCGCATGAAATGTTAAAAGAAATTCTGTAGAGAGAAGGAAAATTATAAAGGTTAGAAACTTAGATCTACATAAAGAAAGAATGAGAATCAAAGAAGGAATAGGTGAAGGTAAAATAAAAACTTTCATTTTTCTTATTCTTAATTGATCTAACAGATAATAGTTTGTTCAAAAGACTGCTAATAGCATCAATGTATTTAATTATGTATGTTTATGTATAAGCTAAATAAATGACATAAGAGAGGGAGCAGGGGCCGGGCACAGTGGCTCAGGCCTGTAATCCCAGCACTTTGGGAGGCTGAGGCAGGTGTACTGCCTGAGCTTAGGAGTTCGAGACCAGCCTGGGCAACATAGTGAAATCCCATCCCCACACAAAATACAAAAAGTAGCCAGGCATGGTAGTGCACGCCTGTAGTCCCAGCTATTTGAGGAGGTGCTGAGGAAGGAGGATGAGTTGAACTGAGGAGGTCAAGTCTGCAGTGAGGGGTGTTCAGGCCACTGCACTCCAGCCTGGGTGACAGAGAGAGATCCCATTTCTAAAACAATTTTTTTTAAAGAGAGGGAGCAGGAATTAAAAGTATTTTGTTATTCTAAGGTACTCATTCTACCTGTAAAGTGGTAAAGTGTTATTTGAGAGTAAACTTGGATTCGTCGTAAATGTATATTGCAAACTCTGGGGCAATCACTAAAAAAGGAGATATATCTATATCTGATGTTCTAATGAAGAGAAAAGAAATCATACAAAAGGCTCAACTGAAACCACAAAAGGCAAAAAATAGTGAAAGACAACAATCAGAACAAATAACAAGGGCAACAAATAGAAAACAGATACGATAAATATTAACCCAACTATATCAATAATCACTTTGAATATCAATGATCTAAATGCATCAATTAAAAGACAGGAATGGTCGCAGTGGATCAAGACACAAAACCCAACCATATGTCATCCACAAGAAACCCATTTTACATATAAATAGATTAAATGTACATGGATGGAGAAAGATATACCGTGCTAACACTAATCAAAAGAAAAGCAGAAAGAGCTACATTAATTCTAGATTTCAGGTTAAATGTCACCTCTACAGGAAACCCTTCTGTATCCACCTACTCACAGGTGAGTTTGTGCTCACCCCAATCACATTCAATCATATAATCATGGGCATTTGTCACTGTCTCTCTACTCCATAACAGAAGCTTTATCAAAGTCAGGACCTTATTTACTTGCTCACTGCCTATTACTTATCATACCAACCACCAGGACTTAGAGCATAATAATCACTCTAACTCCTGTGTAGAAAATAAATTAGAAGTTGGAAAGAATCGTAGTTAACAATGCAGCTAATCCAGAAAAGAGACCATGGTAACAGGTAGTACTAAAGAAGCTGACGAGAAGGGAACCAATTCAGATCTTTAGGTAGTAAAATAGTAAAATCAGCACGACATGATGACTAAATGGATCTGTCGCCAAGAAAGGATGAGAATCGGAGATGACACCTGGCAACTCAGACTGCTGGGTGGCTGGTGAAACTGTTCACTGAGGCTGGAAAACATGAAGGGAAGTGGGTCTGGGGGAAGATAATGTACTCAGATTTACACGTTACACCAGAGACGCCTGTGCAACAGCCAAGTGGAAATCAGGAGAAAGGAGGCTGGAGACGGAGTCTTGAGAAGGATTAATATACAGATGCCACTTGAAGTCATAGGAGCAGATAACATCACACAGCAGGCAAAGGTAAAGTGGGAAAAGAAAAACTTCCGGCTCCAGACACCTGTGGAGGTCAAAAACTGAAATACGACCAAATCGTTTTAAACTTCATGTAGTACTCCCTTTGTGTTGACAGTTAGATACAAAGCTGACTTATCTACAGTACATTCCGTGCAAAGCCTATCAGTTTCAGGCCGAATTTATGAAGTAAACAAAGCTTGACTTCCTTCATTATCACTGCTTTGGTTATGGTAGTCTAAGAACCAGCCTATTAAATCACTCTGTTAAGTGCTTACTAATGTGGGATTAATTTTCTACCCATCGAATATGAATCAAATCATTCCACAACTAAGCATAAAATGTAAACCCAAAAATACGATTCACATTTTTAAAGAGGTCTATAATTATCAATATAAAATAGAGCTTGTATCTGCTAATACAGTGCTTTTAAAAAGTATATAAATTACAATTTGATGGAGTGCCTAACTCCTTATTTTGCTCAGCAATTAATTCATTCAACTAGAAATGTATATATTATCAATCATATTAAATCCTCAAAAGGTAAAATAATACTTGGTGAATTACTTGAAATTGACTTACTTGCTATCACCACTGCTGCCATTTTTTGTTTTGAAAATGCTTTTTTATAAGAAATTTTAGCCTGCTCCTCCTCTTTGATCTCATAATCATGTGTGATGTTCTGTTTATAGCAATAGAGAAAAAAGACTGGACCTCCTTCTATGAAATTATATGATAGACACCTGATAATAAGGTATAGACCAGAATATAAAGCCAGTGATGACAAAAATATTTTGACCAGTAACAGAAACAGTACTGTACACAGGAGTAAATACATATGTCGATGTGTACGCTATATATGATGCATAAACCAATAGTTTGGTGTATATCCTCCATCCATAAAATAGACACATATGGATTATCTCTGAAAAACAGAAGTAGAAGCGGGGGAAGGAAGCTGGGGAAAGACTTTTATGTTTTACCCTGTATGATTCTATATGGTGTTTTTATAATAAAAACATATCCTTGTATTGCTTATGTTTAAAAATGAAATGTGCACCAGATGCGGTGGCTCACGGCTATAATCCCAGCACTTTGGGAGGCCAAGGCTGGCAGACTGCCTGAGATCAGGAGCTTGAGAGCAGCCTGGTCAACATGATGAAACCCCACCTCTACTAAAATAGAAAAAATTAGCTGGGCGTGGTGGCACATGCCTGTAGTCCCAACTACCTGGGGAGGCTGAGGCCCAAGAATTGCTTGAACCTGGGAGGTGGAGGTTGCAGGGAGCTGAGACGGCACCACTGCACCCCAGCCTGGGCAGCAGACTAAGACTCTGTCTCAAAAAAAAAAAAAAAAAAAAAAAAAAACATAAAGAAAGAAATGTGAATACCAATAGCACTGACACCATCCTGTGGGCACAAGGTACATGTTACACCTGCAATACCCCAATAGCCTCTCTCAGACAACTTGATGCCATGGTCCCACACATCAAATGCTAAGCTAGTGAACCAAAATCATGTCCCCCTGGGGTATACATATTATGGATTTTATACTACAGATTTACATCCTCTGTTTCAATTTCCATTCCAAGTGCTTTTGCGTTCTGTTCATCACTGTTCACAGTTCAGTATGTCATTTAATTTTGCGTAGTTTTGTGGGTATCCACAATAATTACAATGTTTAATGTTGTATTTTAAGGTTGAGATAAACACAGCAGTTTAAACGCATATGTTCTGGCCAATCTTTAACTCCCCCTCCACACACACAAACACATACTCTAGCTGTTATTACATATATCCTTCATCTTGCTAGCTGTTTTCCTGTTACCTTCCACAGTATATCTGACAGTGACATTGTTATTGATGCCACAGTAAACAGCTAATATATGTAGTAAAAACACATGCACTACAGGTAATCAAAATGACATACCCACCCACCAAACTCCTGCTACTCATTCTAATCAGATAATGGCTTTTCTCTTCCCTGAGTGTACTACAAAAGGATGATGTGGCACTAGAGGAAAAATAGTCACAAAACAGGGGAAAAAAATGTTTTATTAAGTAAACTGTTTATTAAGTGTTTTATTAATAAACTGTTTAGGTCATTGAGATTAGAAAGCAAGTTTGCCTAGACTTGTGTCAAATAATATGATAATCTGTCGCTTCTCTATGTACTCTGTTTAATCTGAAGTTCCTAGAAACAAATAGCTGAGCTTCACGTGAATAAAACACCTAGAACATCACCATAAACCAAGCTTTCTGGAACGAATACTGTATAAAAAGCAGTATTAATGTTTCACTTTTTGCTTTTAGTTACTCTTGTTGGTAACAATCTTACATAAATCAGGGATCTTTCTAGCTTCGACAAAACTTTTGTTTAAAAAATGAGGTAGAAATAATATTATTGTTTTGAAATTTCCTATCCTATTTTAATTAGAAAGTGTTATACTGGCTGGGCACAGTGGCTGACACCTATAATCCCAGCACTTTGGGAGGCCAAAGCAGGAGGATCACTAGAGCTCAGGAGTTTAACATCAGCCTGGGCAAACAGTGAGATCTCGTCTCCATTAAAATTTTTTTTTAAATTACCTGGCCATGGTGGCACGTACCTGTAGTCCCAGTGGCTCAGGAGGCAGAGGCAGGGAGACCGCTTGAACCCAGGATTTCAAGACTGCAGTGAACTTGATAACACCACTGCACTCCAGTCCAAGAGACAAAGCAAGACTGTCCCCAAATAAAAACCCAAAAGCCAAGAAACAAAAGAATAATACAATATATAATGGAAAACTAGACCTAATCAGAATGTTAGAGCAAGAACAGAATTTAGGTTTAAAAGAGCAGTTAAAAGTCTGAATACCTGGGTTTCATTCCTGAAACTTCAGAGCCTACTAGTTACAGAATATTTGGCAAGTTGGCTGTCTCTCTGTCCTCATTGTCCTTATTAATAAAATAAAAATAATAATAGTACCTAATTCTCACAAGACTCTTGGAAAATCAAATGGAATAATACAGTGCCTGGCACACAGTGGATGCCTAATAAATATTAACTCTTATTGTTAGTACAGATTCAGAAACTGAGGCCCACACAGTGTGTGTTTTCCCTGAGATAATTTAACCAGCAAATGCCAGAATTAGCATGAGAACCTGGAACCCCTGATATTTTTGAACTTTTGATTTCTTTTCCATTAAGACCACTTTTTGTGTCGTCTCAAATTACTTTCAAAGGATAAAATGAGAGAGAAGAAAACCCCTGAGACAAGCATGGCCTAAATTTAAAAGAAGGAAAGAAGAAACTCTGGAGGTGTGTGTGCATATACAAAACATAAGAAACAAAAAGGATGAGTGGAGGGTGGCAGGGAGGAGGCAAGTGACATAGACACAAAACCTCTAATTAGACTTTTAATAAGATGTAACTCATTAGGACATAATTACATTTCTTATTAAATGATTAATCATAAGGTTAGAAGAAAAGGTCATGCTGAATGTTAATTATACATCCTTTCAAGAATTTCAAAGATGTTAACAACAGTACTCGTAAATTAACTCAAACTCTTGGCAGGATATTTGGCATTATCTTTAAAAATTCAAAAGGCATATATCCTTTCAACAATCAATACAATAAGAATTTATCCTACTAATAATTTGGGGAAGTGTGCAAAATGTGCAAAACAGGATGTGAAGTGCATTATTGGCAATACCAAATATTAGAAAAGTGCCAAGCATTCATTAACAAAGAAATTATTATTATGGTCAATTCATACAATGAAACATATGGGATACAAAATGTTCCCCAAAGTAGATCGTTAAATGAAAAAAAAAAAGTACACAAGAATTCATGCCAGATTAAACTATATCTTTTTTTTTTTAAACATAGGATGTAGATACACAAATATGTCTGCACAAGCAAATGCTGCAAAGACACATGAGAAACTTAACAGTGATTGCCTGTGGAAATGAGAATTGAAGTCGGGGGGCAATAAGATGGGGAGGAATAGACATTTACTTTCACATAGTAGACATATACACACACACACCCAATTTTTAACCATATATATTTAACATCAGTTTTAACATTTTAATGTCCCTGGCAACCTGTGTGACTCAGCAGGTGAATAACAAGTAAAAGTAAATTAAAGGCTGTAAAGAAGTAGACACAGGCCAACAGGTATAGTGAAGGACAAATTTAAGAGTAAAGAATTTGAAAGCTTCACTTATATATGGCTGAAAAGTCTTACCTGACACTTAGCACTACAGTATTTGGCGACGCGGCACTGAGAGCATCGCATCAGCTTTTCCTTCCTGTGGGGAAAAAAATTAATTCTGCATTAAGAAATGAGTGGGAAACATAGTACATAGTTGAAGAAAGAAAACATAAGTCAACATACGGACACCCGTATGTTCTGTTTACTCCATTATGTACAGTCCCTTAAGATTTGGATTTTCACACTGATGAGCCTCCTCTTGAACCTTCCATGTGAGACACTGATAGAAAAACTAAGTCCTTTTGTCTGACAGAAGATGGCGGGGAAGAGGCAGGACCAGCTTGCAGCTCCCGATCGGACAGACAGAGCAGCGTGTGGGGACTCACACTGTGAACTTTTGATCCAACAACTGCCACAGCAACATACCAGGTAAACTAAGAGAATCCACAGACCCTCTGAAGGAACTGTATCGCCACTGCAGGCTCCCTGAGACTCTGAAAAGATGTGAGCTGCCTGCTTGCTCAGCAGGGAGGCTGGCGGTCTGGGGCAAGTTCTCAGCCACAGTCACCAGCTGCCTGGAAACAGACTCCGTGCTGCTGTGGGGGCACGGTGGGAGTGAGACCAGCCTTTAGGACTGCGGGCTGTGTGGGAGTGGGATGAGGCCTGTGACTGCTGGCTTTCCCCCACTTCTCTGGCAGCCTGTGTGACCCAGCAGAAGCAGCCATAATCACCCTGGGAACATAACTCCATTAGACTGAAAACCACATCCCCATCCCAACAGCAGCCGCAGCAATCCCCAGCCAAGGAGAATCTGAGCTCAGACACACCTATCCCTGCCCCCTGGTGGTCTTTCTCTACCAGCCCTGGGTGCCAAAGACAAAGGCCATAATCTCTTGGGAGCTCTATGGCCCTGCCTACCACCTAAGAAACCTGAATAGGTAACCAGGCGACCTTAGGGCAAGTTTGCTTCCTCCCTGTAGGACCACAGCTGATGTGTTCCTGAAAGCACCAACTCCTGGCTGGAGGCCAACCAACACAAAACCAGCACACTAAACAAAAATACAACCAAGGGCCCTTGTAGAGTCCACTTCACGCCCCTGCTACCTCCATCAGATCACAGGACTCTTAGCAGTCACTCCCCAGTACCAGCCCAGAGCCCAGTACCTCCACTGGGTGGCTAGACCCAGAAGAGCAAAAACAATCACTGCAGTTTGGCTCTTGGGAAGCTCCATCCCTGGGGGAGGAGGGAGAACACCACATCAAGGGAGAACCCCTTGGAACAAAAGTATCTGAACAGCAGCCCTTGAGTCCCATGTCTCCCCTCTGACACAGTCACCCAAATGAGAAGGAACCAGAAAAACAATTCTGGTAATATGACAAAACAAGCTCTTTAACACCCCCCAAAAGATCACACCGGCTCACCAGCAATGGATCCAAACCAAGATAAAATATCCGGATTGCAAGAAAAAGAATTCAGAAGGTTAATTATTAAGCTAATCAAGGAGGCACCAGAGAAAAGTGAACTCCAACTTAAAGAAATCGAAAACCTGATACAGAATATGAAAGGAAAATTCTTCAGTGAAATAGCATAAATAAAAAATGATCACAACTTCTAGAAATCAAAGAAACACTTAGAGAAATGCAAAATGCACTGGAAAGTCTCAGCAACAGAATCGAACAAGCAGAAAAAAGTACTTCTGAGCTTGAAGACAAGTCTTTTGAGTTAACCCAATCCATCAAAGACAAAGAAAAAAGAATTTTTAAAAATGAGCCAAGCATCCAAGAAGTTTGGAACTATGTTAAGCATGCAAATCTAAGAATAATTGGTGTTCCCAAGACAAAAAAAAGAAATCTAAAAGTTTGGAAACATTATTTGAGGGAATAATCAAGGAAAACTTGTCTGACCTTGCTAGAGATCTAGACATCCAAATACAAGCTCAAAGAACACCTGGGAAACTCATCACTTAGACACACAGTCAAGAGGTTATCCAAAGCAAAGATGAAGGAAAGACTCTTAAGAGCTGTGAGGCAAAAGCATCAGGTAGCCTATAAAAGAAAACCTATCAGAGCAACAGCAGATTTCTGAGCAGAAACTGTCAGAGGCATGCATGTGAACCAGGGCAACTCTATCTTGAATAGGAGCTGAGTTAAATGAGGCTAAGACTTACTGTGCTGCATTCCCAGACAGTTAGGGCATTCTAAGTCACAGGATGAGACTGGAAGTCGGCACACAATACAGGTCATAAGTACCCTGCTGATAAAACAGGTTGCAGTAAGGAAGCCTGCTAAAACTCACCAAAACCAAGATAGTGATAAGAGTGACCAGAGGTCACTGGTGGTCCTCACTGTTACACTCCCATCAGTGCCATGACAGTTTACAAATGCCATGGCAACGTCAGGAAGTTACCCTATATGGTCAAAAAAGGGGAGGCATGGATAATTCACCCCTTGTTTAGCATATAATCAAGAAATAACCATAAACATGGACAACCAGCAGGCCTCGGGGCTGCTCTATGGAGTAGCCATTCTTTTGTTCCTTTACTTTCCTAATAAACTTGCTTTCACTTTACTCTATGGACTCACCCTGAATTATTTCTTGCATGATATCTATGAACCCCCTCTGTAACAAAACCCTATAAGCTAGAAGGGATTGGGGTCCTATTTTTAGCCTCCTTAAACAAAACAATTATCAGCCAAGAATTTTGTATGCAGCAAAACTAAGCTTCATAAATGAAGTAAGATACAGTCTTTTAAGACAAATGCTGAGAGAATTCGCCACTACCAAGCCAGCACTACAAGAACTGCCAAAAGGAACTCTAAATCTTGAAACAAATCCTCGAAATACACCAAAATAGAACCTCCTTAAAACAGAAATTTCACAGGACCTACATAACAATAACACAATAAAAAAAACACAAGGTATTCAGACAACAAACAGCACAATGAATGGAATAGTACCTCACATCTCAATACTAACATTGACTGTAAATGACCTAAATACTCCACTTAAAAGATATGGAATGGCAGAATGGATAAGAATTCACCAACTAAATTTCTGCTGTCTTCAGGAGACTCACCTAACACATAAGGACTCACATAAACTTAAGGTAAAGGGGTGGAAAATGACATTCCATGCAAATGGGCACCAAAAGTAAGCAGGAGTAGCTATTCTTATAGACAAAACAGACTTTAAAGCAAAAGCAGTTAAACAAAACAAGGAGGGACATTATATAACAATAAAAGGACTAGTCCAACAGTAAAATATCACAATCCAAAATATATATGCACCTAACACTGGAGCTCCCAAATTTATAAAACAATTACTAATAGACCTAAGAAATGAGATAGACGGCAACACAATAATAGTGGGGGATTTTATTATTCCACTGTCAGCACTAGATAGGTCATCAAGACAGAAAGTCAACAAAGAAACAATGGACTTAAACTATACCCTAGAACAAATGGACTTAACAGATATTTACAGAACATTCTACTCAACAACTGCAGAATGTACATTCTATTCATCAGCACATGGAAAATTCTCCAAGATAGAACATATGATAGGGCACAAAACAAGTCTCAGTAAATTTAAGAAAATCGAAATTATATCAAGTACTCTCTCAGACCACAGTGGAATAAAATTGGAAATTAACTCCAAAAGGAACCCTCAAAACCATGCAAATATATGGAAATTAAATAACCTGCTCCTGGATGATTGTTGGGTCAACAATGAAATCAAGATGGAAATTTAAAAAGTCTTTGAACTGAACAATAACAGTGACACAACTTATCAAAACCTCTGGAATACAGCAAAAGCGGTGCTAAGCAGAAAGTTCGGAGCATTAAATGCCTACATCGAAAAGCCTGAAGGAGCACAAATAGACAATCTAAGGCTACACCTCACAAAACTGGAGAAACAAGAACAATCCAAACCCAAATGCAGCAGAAGAAAAGAAATAACAAAGATCAGAGAAGAACTAAATGAAATTGAAACAAACAAAAAAAATGCAAAAGATAAATGAAACAAAAGGCTGGTTTTGAAAAGATAAATAAAACTGATAGACCATTAGCAAGATTAACCAAGAAAAGAAGAGAGAAGATCCAAATAAGCTCAACTGGAAATGAAATGGGAAATATTACTGATACCACAGAAATACAAAAGTTTATTCAAGGCTACTATGAACACCTTTATGTGCCTAAACTAGAAAACCTAGAGGGGATGGATAAATTCCTGGAAATATACAACCCTCCAAAATTAAACCAGGAAGATATAGAAACTCTGAACAGACCAATAACAAGCAGCAAGACTGAAATAGTAATTCTTTAAAAATTGCCAACAAGAAAAGTCTAGGACCATAAGGATTCACAGCTGAATTCTGTCAGACATTCAAAGAGGAACCAGTATCAATCCTATTGACACTATTCCAGAGGATAGAGAAAAAGGGAATCCTCCTTAAATCATTCTCTGAAGCCAGTATCACCCTAGTACAAAAACCAGGGAAGGAGTTAACAAAAAATTAAAACTACAGACCAATATTCCTGATGACACAGATGCAAAATTCCTCAACAAAATACAAGCTAACTGAATCCAGCAGCACATCAAAAAGATAATTCATCATGATCAAGCGGGTTTCATACCAGGGATGCACGGATGGCTTAACATCCATAACTCAAATGTGATATGCCACATAAACAGAATTAAAAACAAGAATCACATGATCATCTCAATAGATGCAGAAAAAGCATTTGACAAAATTCAGCATTCCTTTATGATTAAAACCCTCAGCAAAATCGGCATAGAAGGGATACACCTTAAGGTAATGAAAGCTATCTAAGACAAACCCACAGCCAACATTACACTGAACAGGGAAAAGTTGAAATCATTCCCCCTGAGAAATGAAATCAGACAAGGATGCCCACTTTTACCACTTCTACTCAACATAGTACTGGAAGTCCTAGCCAGAGCAATCAGACAAGAGAAAGAAATCAAAGGTATCCAAATTAGTAGAGGAAGTCAAACTGCTGCTGTTTGTTTGCTGATGATATGATTGTATACCTAGAAAGCCCCAAAGACTCATCCAAAAGCTCCTCGAACTAGTACATGAATTCAGCAAAGTTTCAGGATACAAAATTGATGTACACAAATCAGTAGCTCTGCTATACAGCAACAGCAACCAAGCTGAGAATCAAATCAAGAACTCAATCCCTTTTACAATAGCTGCAAAAAAATAAAATAAAATAAAATACTTAGGAATACACCTAACTAAGGAGGTGAAGACCTCTATAAGGAAAACTACAAAACACAGATGACACAAACAAATGGAAACATGTCCCATGCTCATGGATGGGTAGAATCAATATTGTGAAAATGGCCATATTGCCAAAAGCAATCTACAAATTCAATACAATTCCCATCTAAACACCACTATCATTCTTCACAAAACTAGAAAAAAAAAATCCTAAAATTCATACGGAACCAAAAAAGAGACCACATAGCCAAAGCAAGACTAAGCAAAAAGAACAAATCTGGAGGCATCACATTATCCAACTCCAAACTATACTACAAGGCCACAGTCACCAAAACAGCATAGTACTGTTATAAAAATAGGCACAATGAAACAGAATAGACAACCCAGAAACAAACCCAAATACTGACAGCTAACTGATCTTCAACAAAGCAAACAAAAACATAAAGTAGGGAAAGGACACCCTATTCAACAAATAGTGCTGGGACAATTGGCAAGCCACCTATAGAAGAATGAAACTGGATCCTCATCTCTCACCTTACACAAAAATCAACTCAAGATGAATCAAAGACTTAAATCTAAGACCTGAAACCATAAAAATTCTAGAAGATAACATCGGAAAAACCTTTCTAGACATTGGCTTAGGCAAAGACTTCATAACAAAGAACCCAAAAGCAAACGCAACAAAAGCAAACATAAATAGATGGGACTTAATTAAACCAAAAAGTTTCTGCACAGCAAAAGAAATAATCAGCAGAGTTAACAGACAAACCACAGAGTGGGAGAAAATCTTCACAATCTATACATCCGACAAAGGACTCATATCCAGAATCTACAAAGAACTCAAACAAATCAGCAAGAACAAAACAGTTCCATCAAAAAGTGGGCTAAAGACATGGACAGACAATTCTCAAAAGAAGATATACAAATGGCCAACAAGCATATGGAAAAATGCTCAACATCACTAATTATCAGGGAAATGCAAATCAAAACCACAATGTAATACCACCTCACTCCTGCAAGAATGGCCATAATCAAAAAATCAAAAAAATAATCGACGTAGGCACAGATGCAGTGAAAAGGGAACACTTTTACACTGTTGGTGGGAATGTAAACCAGTACAACCACTATGGAAAACAGTGGAGATTCCTAAAGAACTAAAAGTAAATCTACCATTTGATTCAGCAGTCCCACTACTGGGTATTCTACCAAAAGGAAAAGAAGTCATTATACAAAAAAGATACCTGCATACACATTTATAGCAGCACAATTTGCAATTGCAAAAATATGGAACCAGCCCAAATGCCCATCAGTCAACAAATGGATAAAGAAAATGTGGTATATATATACACCATGGAATAACACTCAACCATAAAAAGGAACAAAATAATGGCATTCGCAGCCACCTAGATGGAATTGGAGACCATTAATCTAAGTAAAGTAACTCAGGAATGGAAAACCAAACATCGTATGTTCTCACTCATATGTGGGAGCTAAGCTATGAGGATGCAAAGGCATAGGAATGATACACTGGACATCGGGGACTCAGGAGAAACGTTGGGAAGGGGTGAGGGATAAAAGACTACACATTGGGTACAGTGTACACTGCTCAGGAGATGGATACACCAAAATCTCAGAAATCCCCACTAAAGAGCTTATTCATGCAACCAAACACCACCTGCTCCCCAAAAACCTATTGAAATTAAAAAAGAAAAAGAATCTCAGAGAAAAAAATAATAACGCATGGCCCTGGACCCATAGATCTCCATGTACTACAGGAGAATGCTGTGGTACGCACCCCCAGCACCGCCCCCACAAAAAAATGTCCTTTTTAAAAACTTTGGTAGAATATACGTAACATAAAATTCACTATTTTAACCATTTTAAGTGCCCTACTTCACTTCATAGATACTGATCTCTCCATATCAAATTCAAATCCAGTCCATAAACTGGTTAAAAGTATTTTATACCCTTCAAATATACAAATTTTGTCTTAAATTATCATATAGTTTAATTATGAATATACTCCTCCTGAGAAATGGTTTTAAAATTCCATTTAATTCAATTACTACTTTAGACATGCTGAGTTGAGATGCTTTAACTATCTCCCCCAAATCACCTGGGTGACAAAAAAGCAGATATTTTTAAAAACCTGAATTATAGCTCTCCCTCTCCCTCTCCCTCTCCCTTTCCCACGGTCTCCCTCTCCCTCTCCCTCTCCACGGTCTCCCTCTCCCTCTCTTTCCACGGTCTCCCTCTGATGCCGAGCCGAAGCTGGACTGTACTGCTGCCATCTCGGCTCACTGCAACCTCCCTGCCTGATTCTCCCGCCTCAGCCTGCCAAGTGCCTGCGATTGCAGGCGCGCACCGCCACGCCTGACTGGTTTTCGTATTTTTTTGGTGGAGACGGGGTTTCGCTGTGTTGGCCGGGCTGGTCTCCAGCTCCTAACCGCGAGTGATCCGCCAGCCTCGGCCTCCCGGAGGTGCAGGGATTGCAGACGGAGTCTCGTTCACTCAGTGGTCAATGGTGCCCAGGCTGGAGTGCAGTGGCGTGATCTCGGCTCGCTACAACCTCCACCTCCCAGCCGCCTGCCTTGGCCTCCCAAAGTGCCGAGATTGCAGCCTCTGCCCGGCCGCCACCCCGTCTGGGAAGTGAGGAGCGTCTCTGCCTGGCCGCCCATCGTCTGGGATGTGAGGAGCCCCTCTGCCTGGCTGCCCAGTCTGGAAAGTGAGGAGCGTCTCTGCCCAGCCGCCATCCCATCTAGGAAGTGAGGAGCGTCTCTGCCCGGCCGCCCATCGTCTGAGATGTGGGGAGCGCCTCTGCCCCACCGCCCCTTCTGGGAGGTGAGGAGCGTCTCTGCCTGGCCGCCCCGTCTGAGAAGTGAGGAGCCCCTCCGCCCGGCAGCCGCCCCGTCTGAGAAGTGAGGAGCCCCTCCGCCCGGCAGCCACCCCGTCTGGGAAGTGAGGAGCGTCTCCGCCCGGCAGCCACCCCGTCCGGGAGGGAGGTGGGGGTTAGCCCCCGCCAGGCCAGCCGCCCCGTCCGGGAGGGAGGTGGGGGGGTCAGCCCCCCGCCCGGCCAGCCGCCCCATCCGGGAGGTGAGGGGCGCCTCTGCCCGGCCGCCCCTACTGGGAAGTGAGGAGCCCCTCTGCCCGGCCACCACCCCGTCTGGGAGGTGTACCCAACAGTTCATTGAGAACGGGCCATGATGACAATGGCGGTTTTGTGGAATAGAAAAGGGGGAAAGGTGGGGAAAAAACTGAGAAATCGGATGGTTGCCGTGTCTGTGTAGAAAGAAGTAGACATGGGAGACTTTTCATTTTGTTCTGTACTAAGAAAAACTCTTCTGCCTTGGGATCCTGTTGATCTGTGACCTTACCCCCCAACCCTGTGCTCTCTGAAACATGTGCTGTGTCCACTCAGGGTTGAATGGATTAAGGGCTGTGCAAGATGTGCTTTGTTAAACAGATGCTTGAAGGCAGCATGCTCGTTAAGAGTCATCACCACTCCCTAATCTCAAGTACCCAGGGACACAAACACTGCGGAAGGCCGCAGGGTCCTCTGCCTAGGAAAACCAGAGACCTTTGTTCACTTGTTTATCTGCTGACCTTCCCTCCACTATTGTCCTATGACCCTGCCAAATCCCCCTCTGTGAGAAACACCCAAGAATGATCAATAAAAAAATAAATAAATAAAAAGGAAAAAGAAAAAAAGAGAGAGAGGCAGGAGGCTTAGAGTCAGAGAAGTCAATGTGGTGCTGGGATCTGAGAAAAAGAACCTGGAAGATGGTCAGTTGCTGGCTTTGAAGATGGAGGAAGACACTGAACCAAGGGATGCAGGACAAGCTGGAAAAGGCAAGGACACAGATTTTCCCTGGAGCTTCCCAGAGGAAGCCAACATCTGGATTTTAGTCCCATAAGACTCATCTCAGATTTGTGAGCTCCAGGACTGTAAGGTAATAAATGCGTGTGGTTGTAAGCCAAAAAAAAAAAAAAAAACCTGAATTGTAAAATAAAAACAATAAATCTGATGGTAAAATTCACAGTGACAAGGATCAGACGGGACTGTGTATAGTTTCAAGGTGGTCAAGGGCTCTAAAAGTCAACCTATAATACTAACATCAATGACAAAACAGAACAGCTCTTTCTAAGCACTTCTGATATGACAGGCACAGTACGAAGCTCTTTACATCTATTAACTCACACTAAATTTGAAACAGTTCTGTATAAGGTAAGCAGTCTTATTATGCCGACTTTAGAGATATTTCAATACGTTTTCAAAAGATAAAAAGTAGATGGAGTAGTACACACTGCTAAGGCATCACACCATAAAGTGAAAGTGGCAGGTGATACTGAAAGGATAAAAACGGAATCCTATAGAGAATCAGAACTTGAATACATCAGGTACCTCACCCCTGAAAGAACAGAAGTGAGTTATGGGACGTAAAACATGGGGAGTGGTTAAAAGTCTAAATAAAGCAACATCAAAAAATTCCATCCACCCCCAAGTGCAGAACTCTAGCTTCTAGGTATCAATACTCCAGCAACAAGCCAAACCCAAACAATCGGGCCCTAGAGTTCTTGATTGTAACCACACACCACACTACCATTCTTCAGTGAAACTGGATACAATCAAGTCAACACTTAGCTGTTCATGAGACACACTTCAAACAAAAGGACATGCAATGGTGGAATGAAAAGGATAGTTCAGACAAATATGAACTCAAAAAAAGCCTGTGTAACTACATAAGTTTCTGAAAAAAAGAGACTTGAAGGTTAAAAGCATTAATAGAGATAAAGCCAATACACAGTGACAAAAGACTTCCATCACCAACTGTTACATACAAAGTAACCAATATACCCAGTCTCAAAATCTATAAAGTATACATCACAGATCTCTAAGGAAAAAATGACCCATATACAATAAGTTAAAGCAGGGCCTGGAATACAGCAGGTACCATATAAGAGTTAGACATTATAAATTCTCTTTCAGAAATTCATAGATCTAGAAGATAAAGAATAAGTAGATAAAGAAGATAAGAATAAGACCAGTCTGGGCAACATAGTGAGCCCTCATTTCTACAAAAAAAAAAAAAATTAAAAAATTAGCCAGGCATGGTGTCACAAGCCTGTGGTCCCAGCTACTTGGGAGGCTGAGGTGGGAGGATGGCTTGAGCCCGAGAGACTGAGGCTACAGTGAGCTGTGATCACACCACTGCACTCCAGCCTGAGCAACAGAGTGAGACCCTGTCTAAAAAAAAAAAAAAAAAAAAAAAATTAGGAATATAAGAATATTACTCAAGATTCAGTCGGGTTAAAAACAAGGGAATTCTGGGGAAATGATGGCAGTGATGTAATTTTTTAATCTCCTCGACTCTCCCCATAAAAAAAAAGTAGGACAGTAAAACCTAATCACCACTCCCCACCCTGGAAAACATCAATAACAAACCTCAAAATATGACTGGGTGGAAAAAACTATGAGTGGTTCTGAGAGCAGAATTAAATCAGTATCTTTATTGTAGGAAACAAGGCAACTTAACTTCCAACAGACCTGTAAACAAGGAGGCCCCAAATCGCCAAAAGCTGTCCAGCATAGAATGCCAAGCCAATCTGAGAACCGCAGCCAAAACTGGGAGAGGGTTCTTTCTTTAGCAAACCTCTTTAAGATGAATTCCCCAGGGCTGCTCTGAACCCTGCCTTCCCTAGACCTGGCTCCTCAGATTTTCTCACTTCCCTCTCTCTTGTCTAAGTTAATCAGAGGCTATGTCTGTTGGCTAAAAATAAAGATCCACAAGTACATACAAAATGTTTGTTCTTGATTTTAAAAAATAACGAGCAGAATCAAGATACCTAAGAAGCTCAGGTGATGAACACCTAGCAAATATCAATCCTTCATTTCCTCCTCCCTCCCATAGCTACCAAAAAAACGCTATAATAAATGTTGACACAGAAGTTTGGTAAACTAACTAACAAGATAATTCAGAGTACTTGAATAATTTATGTGTCATTTAAGGTGTGATGGCAATTCCTTAACATGAGTTATTTAAATGTTTGGGATTGTTTTTACATATTAAATGACTAAATAAATAAATCTAAATTCTTACTTTCAAAAAAAAGGCAAGTTGAGTCCAAGAAAAAAGTGATGTGTGCTTGATTAAACCAACTACTGAAACTTTGATATGTTACTGCTTTTCTCTTTGGGGCATGGTTCAGAGCAGCAGCCCCCTGGCAGGCTCCCCTGCAGAGAAAATACTTGGGCAGCAGTGAGAGGGAACAGGAGGTCAGCAGAAACACAGCCACCAGACAGTACGAGAAAACCTTCTTTTTCTCTTAAAAAAAAAAAAAAGCAAGAGGGCCACATCTGTAATTTCAACCTCAGTGACACGCTTGGGGAGCATAGAATCATCTCAAAAACAAAATTGGCCAGGCACGGTAGCTCACGCCTGTAATCCCAGCACTTTGAGGTGGGCGGATCACGAGGTCAGGAGTTTGAGACCAGCCTGACCATGGTGAAACCCTGTCTCTACTAAATATACAAAAATTAGCCAGGCATGGTGGTGTGTGCCTGTAATCCCAGCTACTCAGGAGGCTGGGGCAAGAGAATCGCTTGAACCTGGGAGGTGGAGGTTGCAGTGAGCCAAGATCATGTCATTGCACTCCAGCCTGGGCGACAGAGCGAGACTCCATCTCAAAAAAAAAAAAAAAAAAAAAATCACCACATGTCATTTCAAATTGAACAACAAAGCCGTATTTTTTGGGGAAAAAAAGAGAAATGTCTATGTCAAATCAAAAACATAATTAATTAGCAGTTTATAGAAAAAGGACCACTTATTTTAGGTAGCTTCAGAGGCTAAAACAAGAAATAGTGAATGGAAGTTAGAGGAGGGCAGATTTTACCTAAATTGTAACGATTTTTCTGGTGACAGCAACTGTTCAGAAGTCTAATGCAATGCCTTGAGAAGCGTAGGGTTCCCAGTGACTTGACATGTTTAAGGAGAATCTAGTAGTAAGTATATTTGCTAGACATGAGGTAAGAGAATTTCCAGTATTGCAAAAGAGAAGGAGTTAGATAAGTTTTCTTCCAACTCCAAAATTATTTGGTTTTGTTTCTCTTGTGCAACCAATAAATATAAACTAAATTTGAAGATGACAGAAATTGTGCATATTTTAAGGCAAAGTATGGTGGTCTCAGAAAGGTAGAGAACATGCTGTTTGCAGAGTGTTTGTCTAAAAAGTCGATCCAGAACTGGAGTTTCTGAATGAAAAACCGCAACCTCTGCCTCCCGGGTTGAAGCAATTCTTATGCCTCAACCTCCTGAGTAGCTGGGATTACAGGCGTGCACAAACACGCCCAGCTAATCTTTGTATTTTAGTAGAGATGGGGTTTCACTGTGTTGGCCAGGCTGCTCTCGAACTCCTGGCCTCAAGTGATCCGCCCACCTCAGCCTCCCAAAGTGCTGAGATTACAGGCGTGAGCCACCATGCCCAGCCAAAAAATAATCTTAAAAAAATAAGTGAGGAATGTATCAGTCAGAGAAAAGTGATTTTTACCTTTTTTCCCTTCATTTCAAAGATGAATATTAGCATTGTACCACCAAATAAGAGAAGATATTGATATTATTTTTTACCAAAATAAATGGGATCGTTAGCAACCCACCCTCTTCAAAAAAAGCAAAAAGGAATCCCCTATCACTTGTTCATACAAACCTGACTCTAGAGAACGGAGTGTCATATCAAAGAAAATTCTTAGGTTACTCAGTGTCCCAGACACAGTGGTTCATGGAGCACAAGTTAAGTCCTCTCTTCTGGGTATAGGCTGGGCCATAATTAGTTTCTCCAACAGCCTAAGCTACTGAAATGTAAAAAGAAAATAAAAACTGGGCAAAATTAATTGTTCTTCAGTCTTCCAGTATACAAATTAAAAACTTAGATATGGGTATAGCAGGAACAACCATCTCTAAGAAATTTTTAAGAAGTGGGGCGTGAAATTAATTGAGTCACTCAAATCTCAACTATGGGGGTACTATCTTAGGGACCATCTCTCTATCCTTCTTGGGTGTCAGAGGGAAAGAGTATGTCCATGTTTAGAAACTCTGTGCTAAAACCATAAAACCAGTTACCAGACAGTAGGAAGGAAGTTTCCTGGAATGGATATAGAAAACAAAAAAATCCTAGTGACTCCCAAATTCCCCCCAGCCCTGGGACCCACAGAATCCACTTTAAACTTCCTATAGAGAAAAAAATTCATCTACAACACATTCCTATATAATCAACTCATTATTCAGAGCTCCTTCCTAGTAACATGTCTTAATTACCTAAAAGTCTCTGTGATGGTTAATACTGAGTGTCAACTTGATTGGATTGAAGGATGCAACATATTGTTCCTGGGTATGTCTATGAGGTTGTGGCCAAAGGAGATAAACATTTGAGTCAGTGGACTGGGAAAGGCAGACCCCCCCTCAACCTGGGTGGGCACCATCTAATCAGCTGCCAGCACAGCTAGAATCAAAGCAGGCAGGAGATCGTGAAAAGGCTAGACTGGCTTAGTCTCCCGACCTACACCTTTCTCCCATGCTGGATGCTTCCTGCCCTCAAACATCAGGCTCCAAGTTCTTCAGTTTTGGGACTCAGACTGGCTTCCTTGCTCCTCCGCCTGCAGATGACCTATATTGGGACCTTGTAATCATGTGAGTTAATTCTTAATAAACTCATATATACAGATAGAAAGATAGATAGATATTCCATTAGTTCTGTCCTTCTAGAGAAATCTGACTAATACAACCACTTAGCAGCTGTGTAATACTAAGCAGTTTAACCTCTCAAAACCACTGAACTAAAATGAGCATAAATAATAATAATAACATTACATGGGCCCTGAGATTTAAATGAAACTTAAAAACTTAATATCATGCTTGGTTCACAGAAGTGCTCGGTAACTATTACTCATTATCATCACAGTTTTACTATTATTTTAAGATTTTTAAATTGCAAACTTTCAAGATGTTTCTAGATATCATCTGAAATATCTTAGTACTAACAGATTAAACAATACTAATATATTAACTAGTTTAGCCACTGTACACAAATTCAGAATTTTATAAACCTTTGAATGTTTATAATCCTTAGAATATTTTTCCTAGTTATTTTTGGGAAAATTTCAGAATTTTTAAAAATTGAAGTGATTACACCCACCATCCACCTATCAAATGGCTATTAACACACACCAGTAGATGTGGTCAAAATTGTACAGACTCATAGGAAAATAGAATTGATTTGGATTCATTTTTCTTTCTTTTTTATTTTTGAGACAGGGTCTCGCTCTGTTACCCAGGCTGGAGCACAATGGCACAAACACAGCTCACTGAAGCCTCTACCTCCCAGGCTCAGGTGATTCTCCTACCTCAGCCTCCCAAGTACCTGGGACCACAGGTGCATGCCACTACACTTGGCTAATTTTTTAAATTATTTGTAGAGACAGGGTCTCCCTATGTTGCCCAGGCTAGTCTCAAACTTCTGGACTCAAGCAATCCTCCCACCTCAGCCTCCCAAAGTGCTAAGATTAGAGGCGTGATTAGATTAGAGCCACTGCACCCAGCCTGGGATTCCTTTTTCTACATTCCATTTCATCTTATTTCACATTTCTAACACAAAGTATAAAACAAAAAAAAAAATGTAATGGTTAGTATTTCGAGGAAAATTAATCTATACTTCACTGGCACCATACCTTCCTAGGAGAAACACAAGCACCTTAAATCCAGCACTTTGGGAAAAGCACAGCAAAATATGTGGACCCAGTTAGAATCCGAGAGGCAGACCAGCTGCTTGAGTACTCCCCTTCCACTGTCTGCAACCCTCTAAACTAAAGCTAATATCCTTGTGGAGCCTGTGCCATCTGATAAACACAAACCCCAGGTGTGAATTCAACAAGTGCTCAGCAACCGGCCACCATGGGCATCATCGCATAACGTCCCGGGTGGATGACAGTGGAGAGGGTAATGCAGTCACTGCTTCTTGGAGATGGCAATCAAGAAAGGCAGACCAACACACATCACTTGCAGAATGAACCATAATACAAAACCATTTTTTGAGAAGTGACACAGACTATACAGGACCCCAGTTCAGGTGAAGGAAATGTCACTTTCTGATGAATAAAGAGTGAGTGGCAGAGAATGGTAGGACTATTTTGGGGGACAAGGAAATAAAAGGTTTTAGTAGTTTAGGGTTCAAAACCTGCAATACTTACTAGGGGCGTACCCTTGTAACATCTTGTAGCCTCAATTTCCTCCTCTGCAAAGTGGGAATAAGTGACTTACTCACGGGACTGCAAGGCAAACTATGAGATAATCTATATGGAGCGCCTGCTAACACAGCACCAAGCAAAGTATTTAGTGCAGAGTTAAAACTGAGGCTGCTGGGTGTATTCTCAAATTGTTCAGGATAGTTTTGTCCATCTCTATCAGAAAAGTTTCTTCTATATCACTTCCATGGTTACTAAAAACGGAAAAAAGCTACATCTACGTGTGTCACAAATGTCGTCATCTCCACACAGGTACACAGACCATTTATTAATACCACTTTTTGAAACCCACATGTAGCCAGACTACTTGGCTCTAATTTCAAATTTTGACTAGTATCCTAAGTATTTGATACCTCAATCTACATTCACTGAAGTCATAAGTTTTAATGTGATCAGAATAACTGACTTCAAAGTGGTCTAATTCAAGAAGCTCCAACTTTAAAGTTGTAAAAATGCTTTTTGAAGGTTGCATTTGTAGAAATGAAATTTGAAAAGACTATTAAATATTCAATAATATTAAAAGGCAATTACAACTCCTAACATTCTGTTTGCTTTAGGCAAGGTAATGTCTGTAACAAGCTAAGGAGCAAATTAAAACGCCAGGGTCCTTATGTTTTATAACAACACGGTTCTAAACTCTCCTCATCATACTAACAGTATTTAAAAGATTATACACTGCCTGTTGTAAGTCACTCGGACAGCTAATCATTGGAAATAAGTGAATTAAGAATCGGTATTAAAATACACTGGCTTGTTTTTCAGGTGGAGCACAGTGAGTAGACTGGAGAAAGCTGTGACCAAGATGAACTGCAGAAAAGGAAGTTTTTTCTAGTAACAACACCCGTCCCTAAATAAGCAACCTCTTCAGTCTAGTCTAGTAACACAACTCTGATCATCTAAGAGATGTGTTCAATTTCCCTAAGTCTTCTTGAAATCTAAAATAATTTTTAAAAAATGAGGAAGAAGAAAAAAATCTGATTTTTCCCAAAGATTGAAATCAAACACCCTTTAGGTGTATAACTATTGCTAGTACAAATATCACAGTAAATACATTTTTAAAAAGTACCATGGGTAAAATTTCAAATAAGGTATAACAATATTTGATCAATATTTTCATAACATACTATGACGTAAGCCTTCAAAATGGCAACAGATGCCCACCTTGAGTTCAGTTCCAGAAAATATTTTGTCACTCTAGAAAAATTCTCTCTCTTACTTCCTCCAATTAGAAAACAACACATCAGCACCATGCTTCCACTTCAGCTTCGGGGGTGGGAAAATCAAAAGCTAAATTCACTAATTGGAGTCGTTTGTTCATTTAAGAGGCCTGAAGCCATCTTCTCCTTCTGCCTGCTTTAAATATTTGCTCTTCTGTTTTACAATTATGTATAATACTTTGTTTAACTTTTAACTGTAAATTGCCTCAAGTCTCCTTGGAACTAAGCAATGACAAAATCTCAATTAATTCATTCTCTCTTTTGGAAAATAAAATGACACTTTAAGTTTATAAAGAAAGACTAGCATGCTGCCTAGTTCCTAAGTAAAGAAACCTTCAAAGAAGAGGCCTTAAGAGACATGGAATTAAATGTTACAGCTGCAAGTGCACTATAATTAATTACAAATTCTCATCGATTTTTATTAAGAGGTCAATCATCTGCTGATAGCCATGGAACGACAGTTAACGGGGGTTGGTGCAAGCACTTTGATGCCTGCTGACCCTCCTCTAGTGAGCATGTTGTATGCCCAAGAGAAGGCTCTCCATGGCCCTAAAATACCACTCAGATATTTTTCTTATCAAACACCCATCTGAGTTTGAGCATATCTTTTTATTCTATTTTTTTAGCACATGTCTGTAGCAGCCAGAGAGTTTAAGAATACCTTGAGATGAAGTATAGACATCCCTCTAAAAGGCTATGACTACAAGTCATTTGCACTTAGTATGAATTAATTTATTCAGATAATCTTACTTCCTTTTTCCACTTAGCTGAGATTTTAGGAATAGAGATTTTGCATAGAGTAGGTACAGAAAGAGGAGATAACAGTGCTGAACATTTAAAAAGCCTAGAAAGAAGCCTGTAATCCCAGCACTTTGGGTGGCGGAAGTGGGTGGATCTCTTGAGGGCAGGGGTTAGAGACTAGCCTGGCCAACATGGCGAAACCCCATCTCTACTGGCCAGCTGCAGTGGCTCACGCCCGTAATCCAAGGACTTTGTGGGGCCGAGGCAGGCGGGTCACCTGAGGTCAGGAGAGAGGAGAAAATGCAGTATAACAAAAAGGGAGTTAGAATGTATAAGAACATTTCATTTTCCATAAAGTTTGGAGTCAGGCCCAACATGCTCTCAAGTATGAAATACAGAAAGTACAAGGAGGAGGAAAAATTCTAAGAGAACTGAAGAGAACTGTACTTTAAGCCTGGCTGCTTCATTTACTGCTCTCCATCTACAGGCAATGAATAAATGTATCCACCCCTAAAGGTATTCTAATCATAATAATAAAAGCTACCTAGAATGTCAAAAGGAATTTTCATATCACATATACATTGTAAAATTAAGTTTTTTCAATGTATTAAAAAAAAGACTGAAAAGAAATAGACCAAAATATTGATTTTTTTCTTTAAATGATACGAATTGGGGTGATTTCCCCCTCCTTTTATTTTTTCCATTTTTCAGTTTTATATAACAAGATTATTTTACTTCCATGATCAAATAAACATAAACATTAATGAAAAGGAAATATGTATTATTTAACAGCCTTAAATTGTGTCTAGTCTAACGCAGGGCATAGAGAGAAGGACAGACAGACAGATAGGTATGTCAGCTTTAATTACAATTTATTCCAATGTTTAGAATAGTAAACACAAATATATACTTTATTCAAACATAATTTAAATTAAATATTCTTTATTAATTGAATTTATTTCTAACTGGCATTAGCTACAAAGGATGTTATCAAATGAAATATTTCTTAGTTTTTGATAACATGAGAAGCTGACAACTTACAATAATAAAATCAGTATCATATGCTAAATACAAAAATCTAATAGTTCTGGATTTAATATCTTCCACAATATAAAAAGCAATCATTTCAGAAAAGAAACCGTTATTAAAAAGAAGAAAAGCTTTTGCCATATGGAACTTGGGTTGCTCAGCCTTTTTCTGAAAAGATGTCTCAACTTCATCTGATGGTTCATATTTTATCATTTTCTTTGACTTATATGAACTTGAAGGTCACCCAGATAAAGTAAAACTTTATTCTTTTATATTAACTTTTATTTGATTTGGAGTTAGTCAATCAAAACATTACTTGTTTGAAAATATAGACATGGAGAAATCTTTAACAAGCAAGATATGACAGAAATTAAAGGCTATTCCACAAAACAACCCTGCCATTCATTCACTGATTCATTCTTTCAACAAAAATATACTGACCCCCTTCCAAATGCCAAGCACTTAATTAGAAACACAGTGGGCACTGTCCATTGTTTACCCAAAAACCACCCCACTCTTTCCTAGCATGAAGAAATACTGTGATTTGCTGATGTAGCAAACACAGAACTCTTGATTTCAGGGAGAGGAGATTGCCAGAGCCGGGGAATAAATCATGATTAATCTAAACTTAAAAAAAAAATGTATCCCTCATGGGCACTGGCCACTCTAAGAACAAGCCATGTGGCCCGGTTTTGGCTAATGACCTGTAAACAGGTACACTCACTTCTCATTATTCATATATTCCATATTTGCAAATTCACTTATTCACTTATATTTATCTGTAACTCCAAAATCAACAGTCACAGCATGTCTGCAGTCAGTTGTGGACAGAAGAGGAAAGGCCAAAAATGTGTGTCGCCCAATATGTATGTTCCCAGCTGAAGTCAAACAAGAAGACACTGCCTTCTCAGCTCTCACAGTGTAAGCGTCCTTTTTGCAGACCACTTGGTGCTCTGTTTTTCTCATTTTTCTCGATTTGACTGTATAATATGGCCCCTAAGCACAGTACCACAGTGCTGTCTCGTGTCCCTAAGCACAAGAAAGTTGTAATATATGCCTCACAGAGAAAATGCATGTTTTAGATAAGCTTCACTGAGGCATAAGTTATGGTGCTGCTGACCCTGAGTTCAATGTTAATGAATCAACAATATATATTAAATAAGGTGGCCGGGCATAGTGGCTCATGCCTGTAATCCCAGCAGGAGTGTGAGGCCGAGGTTGGTGGATCACTTGAGGTCAGGAGTTCAAGACCAGCCTGGCCAACATGGCAAAACCCCATCTCTACTGGCCAGGCGCCGTGGCTCACGTCTGTTATCCCAGCAGTTTGGGGGGCCGAGGCAGGCGGATCACCTGAGGTCAGGAGTTCAACACCAGCCTGGCCAACATGGTGAAACCTCATCTCTACTAAAAATACAAAAATCAGCAGGGCATGGTGGCTCATGCCTGTAATTCCAGCTACTCGGGAGGCTGAGGCAGAAGAATTGCTTGAACTTGGGAGGTGGAGGTTGCAGTGAGCCGAGATCGCGCTGTTGCACTCCAGCCTGGGCAACAGAGTAAGACTCCGTAGCAAAAATTAAAAAAAATAAAATAAGGTGTCTTTAAAAAGAAACACATAATAAAACAAGGTTATGTACTGATCAGGTGACAAATATGTTGTGACTAGAGGCTTTCAGGAACCTAATCCTGTATATCTACTAGGAGGAATGAATGGCTCAGTATTGGCTAATTCAGTTTTCACAGTAACTTTATAAAACATACCTACTGGAAATAATAAAAATGAACTACATTTCTAATGAGAGACTTTTTTTTTTTTTTTTTTTTTTTTTTTTTTTACCAATTTTCAACCTTCTCAGCACAAGACACAACATGAGAGTAAATGCCACCACTCTGTTACATCAAATAGCCAACTTCCAATTTTTGGATGAGAAAAATAAGTTAACTATTTGTTTAAGCCACTACAGTGGAAGTGTATTCACAAAGATGTAACAAAATGGTGCTTCCTCCTTGTCAGTAAACAGTACAGTGGTCCTGAAAGAACACAGCGAAGATGTTCTACATTCTAGCATACCAAGTCTTACATATGCTGCTTATTTTCTAGTCAAATAGAGCAGCACGTGTTAATACTTATATTTCTGCCCTTCAAAATTAAGGTCAAAAGATCGGCAATAATGTGAACTGGCTAAAATCTAATTTTTTTATTGTTGTTGTTTTTGTTTTTGTTTTGAGACAGAGTCTTGCTCTGTCACTCAGGCTGGAGTGCAGTGGCATGATCTCGGCTCACTGCAACCTCCGCCCCCTGGGTTGAAGCAACAATCCTGCCTCAGCCTCCCAAGTAGCTGGGATTACAGGTGTGCACCACCACGCCTGGCTCATTTTTGTATTTTTAGTAGAGACGGGGTTTCACCATGTTGGCCAGGCTGGTCTCAAGCTCCTGACCTTAAGTGGTCCACCAGCCTCAGCCTCCCAAAGTGCTGGGATTACAGGCATCAGCCACCACACTTGGCCTTAAAATCCAATTCTTAATAAAGTTTTGGACTTTATTATTACTTAGAAATATGCCTAGCTTCTCAAAAAAACTATTTTGACACGTGATAAAGGAATGTCTGGAAAACAGATATGGTCTGATTAAGATATAAATATGATGGTATAAATATTACAGTATTACATATATATACACACACAGCTCTCTACGTGTCTTGCTATTTCATATTGATAGAACCGATCTTATGTTCATATTGATGGACATTAGTGTTGATAACAATGTTTTAAGCTATTATAAACAAGCAGGGCACAGTAGCTTTGGGAGCCCAAATCCTAGCACTTTGGGAGGCCGAGGTGAGCGGATCACCTGAGGTCAGGAGTTCAAGACCAGCCTGGCCAACATGGTGAAACCCCATCTCTACTAAAAATACAAAAATTAGCCAGGCGTGGTGGCAGGTGCCTGTAATCCCAGCTACTTGGGAGGCTGAGGCAGGAGAATGGTGTGAACCCAGGAGGCAAAGGTTGCAGTGAGCCAAGATCACGCCACTGCACTCCAGCCTGGGCAACAGTGCGACACTCCATCTAAAAAAAAAAAAAAAAAAAAACTAAACATAAATAAACCAGTATAAACAACATTACAATGAACACATACTTGAACTGTGCACTTATACAATTCTTTCCAAAACTTTCTGGTCTCAGTCCTGACTTAAAAATTACTGAAGGATCTTAAAGAGGCTTTACTTAGGTCGACTTCTCTACTGATATTTAATGTATTACAGATTAAAATTAAGACGTTAAAAAAATAACGTATTGGCCGGGAGTGGTGTCTCACGCCTGTAATACCAGCACTTTGGGAGGCTGAGGTGGGCGGATCACCTGAGGTCAGGAGTTCAAGACCAGACTGGGCAACATGGTGAAACCCCATCTCTACTAAAAATACAAAAATTATCTGGGCATGGTGGCGCACAACTGTAATCCCAGCTACTCAGGAGGTTGAGGCAGGAGAATCACTTGAACCCGAGAGGCAGAGGTTGCAGTAAACCGAGATCACACCATTGTACTCCAGCCTGGGCGACAGAGGCTTTGTCTCAAAATAATAATAATAACGTATTAATTCATTCAAAAGTAAGAATCCTATTACATGTCAACATATTTTAATAAAAAATAACTAAATTTTTCAAAACAAAAATAAGTTAGTGAGGAAAGTGGTAATGTTTTACTTTTTTGATAATCCTTTTAATGTCTGGCTTAATAGAAAGCAGCTAATTTTTTTTATGTTTCTTCATTCAATCTACTGCAATGTAGCTTCTGGAAGACCCACAGTATACTCATGAGATAATAAGAATAAAAAAGGCAAATAATTCTTTTTTTTTTTTTTTTTGAGACGGAGTTTCACTCTTGTTGCCCAGGCTGGAGTGCAATGACGCCATCTCAGCTCACCACAAACTCCGCCTCCCGGGTTCAAGCGATTCTCCTGCCTCAGCCTCCCGAGTAGCTGGGAGTACAGGTACCTGCCACCACACCTGGCTAATTTTGTATTTTTAGTAGAGATAGGGTTTCTCCATGTTGGTCAGGCTAGTCTTGAACTCCCAACCTCAGGTGATCTACCTGCCTCAGCCTCCCAAAGTGCTGCGATTACAGGCGTAAGCCACCATGCCCAACCATAATTCTGAATTATTATCATGAAAATAGTTTTCACTTAAATCCCTGAAAGTCCCATGGGTACTCCCAGAGGCCTCCGGACTCCACTCTCATTCCATTTCTTTAAAGTATGTATTCCTAGAAGTAAAACTGCTGAGTTGCAAGAAAGCACAACTTGAACAATTTTGCATATTGACAAACAGGTCTCCAAGGCAGCTGGAGGAATTTACACTCTCACAGCCATATAATGAGAGTTCCCCTAAATCTGTATCTCATCACCTCTTGATACCGTCATTTCACATTCTGCCGGTCTGATGGGTGAAAATGTTATCTCAATGTGCTTTCCCTTGACAAATGGTCAGGGTTTGAGCATCTTTTCATGTCTATTCACCATGCATAATTTCCCTTTTATCAACTGCCTGTTCATAGCATTTGCATATTTTCTACTGAGTTTTCTTAGTGAATTTAATCATTTGTTGAGTGCCTGTTTTACAAACTCATTTCTCACAGACTGTGTCTGTATTTCACAACTAGGCACTATGAAAGAATATAATACTGTAATTAAATAGCTTACACTAGTGCCACGTGGCCTGGAATTAAAATTTAGTTGACCACTGTGATGGTTGATACTGAGTGTAAACTTGATTGGATTGAAGGATTGATCCTGGGTGTGTCTGTGAGGGTGTTGCCAAAGGAGATGAACATTTGAGTCAGTGGACTGGGAAAGGCAGACCCACCCTTAATCTGGGTGGGCACCATCTAATCAGCTGCCAGCACAGCTAGAATAAAAGCAGGCAGAAAAATGTAAAAAGAGAGACTGGCCTAGTCTCCCAGCCTACATCTTTCTCCCATGCAATGCTTCCTGCCCTTGAACATCAGACTCCAAGTTCTTCAGTTTTGAAACTCGGACTGGCTCTCCTTGTTCCTCAGCCTGCAGATGGCCTATTGTGAGACCTTGTGATTGTGTGAGTTAATACTTAATAATCTCCCCTTCATATATATATATATACACACACACATATATATATACACATATATATACTTAATAAACTCCCCTTTATATATATAATATAATATATTATATATTATATATAATTATATATAATATATTTAATATATTATATATAATTTAATATATTTAATATATTATTTTTATATATTATATATAATATATTTATATAGTATATATAATTATATATAATATATTTATATAGTATATATAAATATATTATATATATAAAGCAATCTCCCTGTTTATAGCTCATTTATAACAATCCTCAGAAATGGAAATTTGTAATTGATCAACCTTGACTAAACAAGAAGATTCCCAATGGCAATAAACTATAACATCTATTTCCCCCCAGAGAAAATGAGAAAGAAAACAATATTTTATATATATATTATTAAGTATATATATACTTACACACACATACATACACACACACACACACACACACACACACACACATATATTCCATTACTTCTGTCCCTCTGGAGAACCCTAACTAATACAACCATTTAGCAACTGTGTAATACTAAGCAATTTAATCTCTTGAAACCACTGAACTAAAATGATAATAAATAATAATAATAACATTACATGGGTGTAATAAGAATAAAACTTTTAAAAACTTAATATCATTCTTGGCTCACAGGAGTGCTCAGTAACTATTACTCATTATCATCACGGTTTTATTATTAAGATTTTTAAATTGCAAACTTTCAAAAGCTGTTTCTAGATATTATTTGAAATATCTTAGAACTAATAGATTAAACAATACTAATATATTAAACAGCTTAGCCTTTCTAGAAAATCAGAATTTTATAAAGCTTTGAATGTTTATAACTCTTGGGATGTTTTTCCTGGTTATTTTCAGGTCCTTCACATATCTAACAATGAAAAATTACTGAATTAACGTAACAGTTGAAGTTATTCGCAGAAGTAACCATAGGTATAGCTAAACAGTAACTACTTCTTAGCCTGAAAGCAACCAAATATGAATACAATAACAATGAACCTAATGTTTCTGGAAAAATCATTAATCCAACTGACTTTTAAAAGTTTTGAAAAGGCCGGGTATGGTGGCTCACGCCTGTAATCCCAGCACTTTGGGAGGCCAAGGCGGATGGATCACTTAAGGCCAGGTGTTCAAGACCAGCCTGGACAACACGGTGAAACCTCATCTCCACTGAAAATACAAAAATTAGTCAGGCATGGTGACACACACCTGTAATCCCAGCTACTCAAGAGGCTGAGGCAGGAGAATCACTTGAACCTGGGAGGTGGAGGTTGCACCTCCCAGGGAGGTCGAGATCACACCACTGCACTCCAGCCTGAGGATCAGAGCAACACTCTGTCTCAAAAAAAAAAAGAAAGAAAGAAAGAAAAAAAAAAGTTCTGAAAAGTCAACGTCCATACCCAAATAGATGGAAAACTTCTACACATTTTTCTCATATCTCAGAAAAATATTCAGAGATAATACAGTACATTAAATACTTTTATTTTTCTACCTAGATAATAAGGAAGGCTGAGAAAATCTTAATGCATCACCTTCATCCTCTCCTATACACACTAGGCTAATACGAATAGTTTTCAATACAGGAGAAAAAAGATAATTAACTCTTTTCAGGTAAACTAACCCATTTCACTAAAAAGCAATCTCCCTGTTTATAGCTCATTTATAATAATCCTCAGAAATGGAAATTCGTAATTGATCAACCTTGACTAAGCAAAAAGATTCCCAATGGCAATAAACTATAACATCTATTTCCCCCCAGAGAAAATGAGAAAGAAAACAACTTTTGAAATGTCATTACTTGAATGCTTTTTAAAAACTATGTGATATTTTAAATGGAAAATGTTAATTATCTTTTAAAGACCTTCTTCTGAATGCCATATCCTTCCTATTGTTGCTGTTCTTTCATTACTGGTCCCATAAATACACTAAGAGTCTTTTTGTACCATGGCTCTGGTAGGTTCTGGATATATAAGGATCAATAAGACAGTTCCTATTTTCAAGGACTGTTGATGCTACGACAGAGGCAGAATAGCAGGAACAGCAATAATGCTCACCAAGCGCCTATTATGTGATGTCAGGTTCTGTGCTAGATACCTGTAACATGCAGTTGTTGAAAAGTAGGAATCTTGAAATTGAGATATCTGAAGTAATAGTTACTGTGCTGGGGTGTGGCCATGGGTATAGCCATGGGCTACTGTCCTAGGCTATGGCCATGGGAAGAGGTAGCTAGGGTAAGGTAAAGGCAAAGAGAATTGGAAGTGGGGACAAACAGCCCAGGTGTCAGATGGATGCTCAATTCGCTAAGAATGATGTTGCCAGTAATGATAAAGAAAGAAAAAGTGAGCCATGAATGTTAAGGAATAACTGGAAGGTGAGGTAATGGGGAGTAGAATGGCAAATGCTTCAGAGGAGCTGGCAATTTTGAGGAAGAGGAAAAATGGTGTAAATGGATGAAGAGGAGCAAAACTGACACTCTCTGACTCTCTAGGCCTCTAGTCTTAAAGGACTTACTCTCACTGGCCAGAACTCAGTCACATGGCCATGTCTAGAAAGTCGGAACATTTCATTCTTTAGCTGGGCTTACTGCCACCTCGAATAAAACTGAAGTTCTTTTATTAAAGAAGTGCCCAGCGAATATCTGGTAGATAACCAGCAGTTTTTCCATAAAAAAATAAAAACAAAACCTATTATGATACCTGAAATTATTTTAACAGGTATAAATGATAAACTTGGGATGGCATTAAAGTGATTAAAGACACTACCTGGTGAGAAACAGAGGCGAACAGAGACCAAGTTTATCGATGCTTTTGTGTAAAGTTGCATACACAAACCGCAATCAAGTCAAAACAGAAGACTTGAAGATGTTCTCATACCATGAAGGAAGACCAATGAACTCAGACTGGTCAATGTACTGGAGGCAACAAGGACTTCCTTAGAGGAGTGAGTACATCCAGTACCTCTTTATATCGCCATCCATGTCTCCCGCAGTGCCCTGCATATTTTATACAGTGAATAAATGTTTGCTAAAGAAACAAATGTGTTTACATATGGAAGTATTTTCAACCAGGCCTTCAACACCAATAACTGTTGACACTTTTAGAAGAAAATCAAAGCAGCCCCTGCAGCCTCAGACTCCTCCAGCTGTCACCTATGGGATCCAGCCTCCAGGCCAACCGCAGGCTCCAGGCCAGCTCCTGTAGCCCCAGACCCCTCCAGCTGACACCTATGGGATCCAGCCTCCAGGCCCACCGCGGGCTCCAGGTCAGTTCCTGTAGCCCCAGATCCCTCCAGCTGACACCTATGGGATCCAGCCTCCAGGCCAACCGCGGGCTCCAGGTCAGTTCCTGTAGCCCCAAATCCCTCCAGCTGACACCTATGGGATCCAGCCTCCAGGCCAACCGTGGGCTCCAGGCCAGCTCCTGTAGCCCCAGACCCCTCCAGCTGACACCTATGGGATCCAGCCTCCAGGCCAACCGCAGGCTCCGGGCCAGTTCCTATAGCCCCAAACCCCTCCAGCTGACACCTATGGGATCCAGCCTCCAGGCCCAACGCAGGCTCCAGGCCAGCTCCTGTAGCCCCAGGATTCAGACTGAAACCCAAAGACTCAGCCTCCGGGCCCAGTCCAGCCCCATGTCAGCCGCTACAACTCTAGGTTCCAGGCTCACTAGAATGCCAGGTCAGTCCTCACAGCCCTAGACTCCAGGCCAGCACCCATGGACCCACGCTCCAGCAAACCCAGGACCCATGCCCACTCTATAGACTCAGAGTCCAGGCCTGCCTCAGTAAACTCAGCATCCACAGCCTTAGGCACCAGGCTAGCACCTGTGAACCCAGGCTCCAGACCAAGCCCCGTGGACCCAGGCTCACCCCAGCACCAGGCCAATCCCAGGCTCTAGGCTGGTCCCTGTGACCCCAGACTCTAATAGACCCAGGATCCAAGCTCATTCCAGCAGACCCAGGGTCCAAGTCCACCCTGGTCAACCCTAGTGCCAGGTTGCCCCACAGATCCAGGCTCTAGGATTGCCCCTGTGGACCCAAGATCCAGACAGGTCCCCACAGGCCCAAGAACCAGGTCTCTTTCTGCATACTCAAGCTCCAGGCTCACCCCAGCACCAGGCTAACCCCCATGGACTCAAACTCAAGGCCCATCCACATGGACCCAGGCACCCAGACAATCCTAGTGCCAGGCTGGCCCCCACAGACTCAGGCTCAAGGCCCACTCCAGGGCCAGGCTGGCCAGACTTCAGGCCAGCCCCTACAGACACATGCTCCAGGCTCGCACCCATGAGCTCAGTCAACAGACTCACCCAGTGGACCTCACCACCAGGTTTCCCCCATGGACCCGGGGTCTAGTCCTTCAAACCCAAGATCCAGACCTGTCCCAGTGGGCCCAGGCTCCAGACCCACCCCCATGGACCCAGGTCCCAGGCCTGCCCACCTATTGACCCAGGCACAAGGCTAGCCTGCCCAAGAACTTGAGGTAGCCCTCCTTCCCTCAGGAGGCGGAAAGAAGGCAAATTACCTTACAGGCATGAAAGACACCAAAGGAATCATCAACTTGGCCTCTGTTTACACAGCAGGATCTACCAGCTGGGAATGCATTTGAATGAGTGTTGGGGATGGGTAGATCAGAGATCTCAATATTCAGTAAAAAGAATCTTTCTGAGAACGTTCTCCTCCCAAAAGGGCAGAAGGCCACAACTACTGAAACACAAAGCCTGACTTCATTTGAGAGACTGACTCCACCCCAGACCAATGAATCAGAATCTACATCTTAATCAAATGTCTAGGTGATTCATATTGCACTAAAGGTAGAAAAGCACTGGTCTAATATACAACAACAACAACAAAAAGCCATATCTGAAATGGAATTACAGACAATTATTTTGGATATGAAGCCTCTTTGGTTTAAAAATGCATTATCCTTTAAACTGCAGGCAGCAAGAGGTAATACATCACATGAAATAAAAGCTGTTATGATGCTTTTTGGAAGATGATCAAAATATCAAGATGGGGTCAGGCATGGTGGCTCATGCCTGTAATCCCAGCACTTTGGGAGGCCGAGGTGGGTTGATCACTTGAGGTCAAGAGTTCTACCAAAGTTAACAAATAACTCCTTTCAGCAAAACCCTGCTCCTTTTTCTTAGGCCAGAATAAATGCCAACATGTTTGTTTCTCCTGCCATGTTAAATATATTACAAGCTTGCTAGCTTTCACTCTGTTATTGATATCTTCAATACATGAAGAGGAAGTGCAAGATAAACAGAAACATTTATAGTCAAGGGAAACACAAAGGCATTAAATAAAATTAAAAGATCTGGAATGGTGAGTCTGATTAGTCAGGGAGCAGACACCTGGTGTCTTAGACAAAACAACCATTAAAAAAAAGGAGGATGGAAAATGGAATGACTCACTTTTACTATATATGTATCTCATATGAAGTATTTTCTTCTGGGTAAACTAGAAAATAAAATGCAACTATTTTGGAGCAATATTATAATATGGAAGCTGAGAGATAATTATCCTTCAGATATCTTTTTCTGTCAGGCTAAATAATGTGTTTCTTCATCTTTCCCTAAAATCAGGTCTCATAAACCTTCAGAGTTTCCATTTCATGTATAGGTTGAGACTAAATTTAGAAAAATCAGGTCCCATAATGTTCTAAACAGAGATGGACACACACACAAAAAGAAAATGTAACCATTGAACAAAATTAGATTATATTTAGAAACAGAATTTTTTTTTTTTGAGACAGAGTCTCACTCTGTCGCCCAAGCTAGAGTGCAGTGGTGCCATCTCGGCTCACTGCAACCTCCGCCACCCGGATTCAAGCAATTCTCCTGCCTCAGCCTCCCAAGAAGCTGGGATTACAGGTGCCCGCCACCACGCCCGGCTAATTTTTTGTATTCTTAGTAGAGACAAGGTTTCACCATGTTGGCCAGGCTGTTGTCAAACTCCTCACCTCAAGTGATCTGCCCGCCTCGGCCTCCCAAAGTGCTGAGATTACAGGCGTGAGCCACTGCACCTGGTCTAAAAATAGAAATTTTATGTGTGTATATATATCAATAAAAGTATCACAATTACTGTCCTTAAAAAGCCTAGGTTTGGAAGAAAAATTATAATGGGAAACATACTGTGACAGCTCAGTAAAAGACAACTAAGGTAGTTAACTGATTCTCCTATTTACTATCTGTCAAAAGACATTATTTGTAGTAGCTGAATTGAGCTGATTTTCTTCATACCTCAGAAATATTTCACCCATGGGACATTACATAATATTCTCTAGGACTTACGCAGTGATAAATACCTGACCAAATTTATAATAAAGAAATCTTTCATTCATACATTTAAAAAAAATGAAACAAATCAAAATCATGCAGGATAAAGCTTAGGTATTTTCTGCCTAAGAATTTTACTGAATAAAATCTTACAAGACTAGGTTTTTCCTATGTGCTCAAATATTGAAAATTTATCTTTTGTCTCCAGCATGTCTTTCAAACTGAATTTAATTGGTAAATTATTTAAACTATGTGCATAACACAATACTTACTTGAAAATTGATCTGAGTGAATCATGAGCATGTAACATTTGAGACAGAGAACTACATGCGAATTTTAAGTACTAGGAATAAATTGAAATACTTCGGATATGCCCATTTCCTAAGTATACTTAGGATATACCCATTTCCTAAGTATTTCAATTTATTCTTAATACTTAAAATTCACATGGCACTACGGGCTTTTAAAGTATTTTATAAATATAAATATTTTAAAAATATTAAAATGTTATAAATATTAAGCCTTACTGCATTTCTGCTCCCACCTCAAATCTGTGTATACTGCATTAAGTCATATTCCTAGGAGAGAAAGGACCCACCTTCTGTAACTTAAAATTAACACTAGAAATGTTTCCAGTAAAGGAAATAAAAAGAATTATCTGAGTGAAAGAATTCAGTAAAGAACCCCGTATAAATAGTACTGCCCTCCAAACTGTGCATTATATTGTCTATGAACAAGAAATGAAATGGACATGGACCATCAAAAGCGGGAACTGTGTAGAGCGGTGCTTTTCAAACAAATCACTTTTTTAAAACAAACACAATCACTAAAAATGCAGATTCTAACTCAGTAGGTCTGAAAGTGGGGCTTTTCTGCACTTGTAACAAGCTTCCAGGTGATGCTGATGCCTCCTGTCCACGGACCATACTTTGAGTAGGAAGGCAGTAGAACACATACACCTTTTTTTTTTTCCGCCACTCTTTCGCCCAGGCTGGAGTGCAGTGGCACGATCTCGGCTCACTGCAAGCTCCACCTCTTGGGTTCACACCATTCTCCTGCCTCAGCCTCCCAAGTAGCTGGGACTACAGGCACCTGCCACCACGCCCAGCTAATTTTTTGTATTTTTAGTAGAGACAGGGTTTCACCGTGCTAGCCAGGATGGTCTCGATCTCCTGACCTCGTGATCCATCCGCCTCAACCTTCCAAAGTACTGAGATTACAGGCATGAGCCACCGCGTCTGGCCTAAAATACATACATGTTATCTGGAGGTGCGAAAGCCCAGTGCCAGAAGACCACCAGTTAGGTTTATCGGCTTGCTACAGTAAAAGGAGAATGCGTACTCTAGGAAACTGGGCATTTCTGCAAAGGGGAGTTAAAATGAACTTGCTATAGAGATTGTGTTTTCTACTGGGTGATATGGGAGAAGGTAAAGAAAACAGAAGTCTGTTGTGAATTCAGTGTTGTCAGGAACCAAAGATTACTGGTAGACTAAACATTTTAATAATTTTTATCCAGGGAGCAGGAGGAACAAAGAGGCGCTAAAGTTGATAAAAAAGCAATTGTCAGCCAGGTGCAGTGGCTCATGCCTGTAATCCCAGCACTTTTGGGAGGCTGTGGCAGGAAGATTGCTTGAGGCCAGATGTTCCAGACCATCCTGGCCAATAGTGAGATTTCACCTCTGTTATCTTTTAATTGTTAAAAAAAAAAAAAAATTGTCAGTCACTCATGTTACTGAGGAGACCATATAAGAACTGAGACTGACCCAAGAACAACAAACTATGTTTTACCTCTTGGTCTCTATAGACAATATGACAATGAGAGAAAGGGTGGGAGAAATTGACCACTTATTACATAGTTTACCCCTCCCGCCGTGTATGATGTGAATCCTGTTATACATTATAAGATTGTTATACAATCCTATGTTATACAATGTTATACTTTCTGATATAAAAAAAAAAAACCTTTTTGTGCACAGAATATGAAAAAGGGACTACACAATAAGCGAGAGTCTTCGAGGTATAGGCCAGTACATTAATATCCTTTGGGGAACTACCTATGTTATATGACTCTCATGAAAAACGCACAAGAAAAGCAGATAGAGAATACAGCAAGCAGACTGCTTTGCACACGGTAAAGGGCAGTGCTCAGAAATACTATTAAGAAATAATATTACCATTTAGAAGCTTCCTTTAAATGAAAATAACTGTGGATAAATATCCCTTCTAACCACCGCATGAGGCAACGTACTTAGCATATGGTATACGGTATGAGCTTTAGACATGGACTGAGAATCTTGGCTTCACACTTAATATTTATAATATTTAGAGGACAACTTAGTTAACTTTTCTAGCTTCAGACTTCTTATCTATAACATGGAGGCAACACTGTTAACTTTGTTTTAAGGAGTAAATAAAATATGCAAAACATTTAATGTATTAAGTACCTCACAGTTGGCCCTCAACGGCATTTAAAGTGAACATGGTACCAAACCAGATTCAAAATGCCAGTTTAACATTTATTCATCCCACAGATATTTGTTACCATGTGCCAGACATTGTGTTTAGAAAGAAATGTAATATTTTAAAAGTACCTGGCTTCCTGGAGTTTACAGTCTAGCATAAGGACAATTAATCTGACAATAGAAAGCACAGGATATTACCAGAACACAGAGCAGAGAGACCTGAAGCAAAGCAGCAGTGTGAGGCAGGGAAGTCTCCTCGGAGGAAGAAAACCTGAAGGAAAAGTAAGAGTTCTGAAGGACTTCTAGTTACAGCTATGTGGAGAAGTCAGTAATTTGTTACTATATAAAACAACTATAAAATTTGGAAAAAATTATATTAAAAATAACATTTCAGAGCACTGAAAATAGACCAAAGCAGAGAACAAATGAAAAAGCATTCATTCTTGAAAATCACCTCGAGGTTGAAGTCAGTTTCTGGGGACCTCCTTGTAGAAAGCATTCATTCTGGAAAATCACCTCGAGGTTGAAGTCAGTTTCTGGGGACATCCTTGTAGAAAGCATTCATTCTTGAAAATCACCTCGAGGTTGAAGTCAGTTTCTAGGGGACCTCCTTGTAGAAAACATTCATTCTTGAAAATCACCTCGAGGTTGAAGTCAGTTTCTAGGGGACCTCCTTGTAGAAAGCATTCATTCTTGAAAATCACCTCGAGGTTGAAGTCAGTTTCTAGAGGACCTCCTTGTAGAAAGCATTCATTCTTGAAAATCACCTCAAGGTTGAAGTCAGTTTCTGGGGACCTCCTTGTAGAAAGCATTCATTCTTGAAAATCACCTCGAGGTTGAAGTCAGTTTCTGGGGACCTCCTTGTAGAAAGCATTCATTCTTGAAAATCACCTCGAGGTTGAAGTCAGTTTCTAGGGGACCTCCTTGTAGAAAGCATTCATTCTTGAAAATCACCTCGAGGTTGAAGTCAGTTTCTGGGGACCTCCTTGTAGAAAGCATTCATTCTTGAAAATCACCTCGAGGTTGAAGTCAGTTTCTGGGGACCTCCTTGTAGAAAGCATTCATTCTTGAAAATCACCTCGAGGTTGAAGTCAGTTTCTGGGGACCTCCTTGTAGAAAGCATTCATTCTTGAAAATCACCTCGAGGTTGAAGTCAGTTTCTAGGGGACCTCCTTGTAGAAAGCATTCATTCTTGAAAATCACCTCGAGGTTGAAGTCAGTTTCTAGGGGACCTCCTTGTAGAAAGCATTCATTCTTGAAAATCACCTCGAGGTTGAAGTCAGTTTCTGGGGACCTCCTTGTAGAAAGCATTCATTCTTGAAAATCACCTCGAGGTTGAAGTCAGTTTCTGGGGACCTCCTTGTAGAAAGCATTCATTCTTGAAAATCACCTCGAGGTTGAAGTCAGTTTCTGGGGACCTCCTTGTAGAAAGCATTCATTCTTGAAAAATCACCTCGAGGTTGAAGTCAGTTTCTGGGGACCTCCTTGTAGAAAGCATTCATTCTTGAAAATCACCTCGAGGTTGAAGTCAGTTTCTGGGGACCTCCTTGTAGAAAGCATTCATTCTTGAAAATCACCTCGAGGTTGAAGTCAGTTTCTGGGGACCTCCTTGTAGAAAGCATTCATTCTTGAAAATCACCTCGAGGTTGAAGTCAGTTTCTGGGGACCTCCTTGTAGAAAGCATTCATTCTTGAAAATCACCTCGAGGTTGAAGTCAGTTTCTGGGGACCTCCTTGTAGAAAGCATTCATTCTTGAAAATCACCTCGAGGTTGAAGTCAGTTTCTAGGGGACCTCCTTGTAGAAAGCATTCATTCTTGAAAATCACCTCGAGGTTGAAGTCAGTTTCTGGGGACCTCCTTGTAGAAAGCATTCATTCTTGAAAATCACCTCGAGGTTGAAGTCAGTTTCTGGGGACCTCCTTGTAGAAAGCATTCATTCTTGAAAATCACCTCGAGGTTGAAGTCAGTTTCTGGGGACCTCCTTGTAGAAAGCATTCATTCTTGAAAATCACCTCGAGGTTGAAGTCAGTTTCTGGGGACCTCCTTGTAGAAAGCATTCATTCTTGAAAATCACCTCGAGGTTGAAGTCAGTTTCTGGGGACCTCCTTGTAGAAAGCATTCATTCTTGAAAATCACCTCGAGGTTGAAGTCAGTTTCTAGAGGACCTCCTTGTAGAAAGCATTCATTCTTGAAAATCACCTCGAGGTTGAAGTCAGTTTCTAGAGGACCTCCTTGTAGAAAGCATTCATTCTTGAAAATCACCTCAAGGTTGAAGTCAGTTTCTGGGGACCTCCTTGTAGAAAGCATTCATTCTTGAAAATCACCTCGAGGTTGAAGTCAGTTTCTAGAGGACCTCCTTGTAGAAAGCATTCATTCTTGAAAATCACCTCGAGGTTGAAGTCAGTTTCTGGGGACCTCCTTGTAGAAAGCATTCATTCTTGAAAATCACCTCGAGGTTGAAGTCAGTTTCTAGAGGACCTCCTTGCCTCAGGCTGCTTCTACCCTACACTCAGCTGCCGTGGTGAAAACTTTGACAAACTTGGGGCTGTCTGCAAAAGCCAGTATCTTTGCTACCAGAAGGGGCAGATCTGCTGCGGGATGGGGGGCAAAACTCCAGGTCTTTATCAGCTAAAGTAGCAAATGTGGTGGGAGACAAAAAGGGAAAAACCTTACCTTTGTTCCCTAACGCTATAGTCCAAGTTGGGGCAAGTGGTAGGAGGATCCCTTGAGCCCAGGAGTTCACGGCTACAGTGAGCTATGATCATGCCACTGCACTCCAGCCTGGGTGACAGAGCAAGATTCTGTCTCCAAAAAAAAAAAAAAAAAAAAAAAAAAAAGCAAACTCCATAAGAAGGAATACTGGAAATTGTTGATATGTAGGTAAATATAAAAGCCTGTATATTATATACTGTATTTTTAATTTCTTTACAAATCCTAAGATTGGCTTAAGGTAAAAACCATTATTCAGTGGATAACATATATAGATGGACAGTACATGACAAAAATAGCACAATGCAGAATGGGGAGGGATGAAGCTGTATGGGAACAAAGTTACCATACTTCACTAGATTAAGTAACTATAAAACTTTCAGATTATGCTATGTTCAAGATTCATCCTGTAATCCTTAAAGCAATGCTATCCAACAGAAATATGAGAACCATAAATATAAGTCACATATATAATTTTTAATTTTCTAGTAATATTTTAAAGGTTTTTAAAACATGAAACTTTAACAACATATTTTATTTAATCCAACATATCCAAAGTATTATGACAACATATAATCAATACAAAAATTATGAATATTTTACATTCCCTATTAAGTCATTGAAATCTGATTTGTATTTCACTTTAGCACACATAAATTCAGACTAGCCACATTTCAAGTGCACAACAGCCACATGTAGCTAGTGGCTACTGCAGTGGGCAGTACAGCACTAGAGCAACAACAACAACAACAACAGATGACTTTTAAAAAAATCAACAGATGAATTAAAACGGTACACTCCAAAAATATTTAACGCAAATGTAATAGAAGAACAGAGGAAGACAAAAAAGACATCAAACCTATAGAAAACAAAAATCAAAATGGCAGACATAAATCCAACCATATCCAAAATTACATTAAGCATGAATGTACCAAACATTCACATCAAAAGGAAGAGACCATCAGGCTGGAGTTTTAAAAGCAAGCTTCAGCTGGGTGCGATGGCTCATGTCTATAATTTCAACACTTTGGGAGGTCAAAGTGAGAGGATCACTCGAGGCCAGGAGTTCAAGATCAGCCTGGGCAACTAAGCGAGACTCTATATCTGAAAAAAAAAAAAAAAAGGCACAGTGGCATGCACCTATATTCCTAGATACATGGGAGGCTTAAGTAGGAGAACTGCTTGAGCCCAGGAGATAAAGGCTACGGTGAGCTTTGATTCCACCACTGCACTCCAGCCTGAGAAACAAAGCGAGACCTTATTGAGAGAGAGAGAGAGAAAGAGAGAGAGAGAAAGAGAGAGAAAAAGAGAGAGAGAGAGAGAGAGAAGGAGAGAGGGAAAAAGGAGAGGGGGAGAGAGGGAGAGAAGGAGAGAGGAGGGGAAAGGAAAAGAGAACCAAAAATGCAAGACTCGACCATATTCTGTCTATAGGAGATATATACTAGATTCAAAGATACAAACAAGTTCAAAAGAAAACAAACCAGTAATCATAAGAATGCTGCAGTGACTATATTAATATCAAACAAAATACACTTTAAGACACACATATTACTAGAGACAAGGAGGAACATTTGATAATGAAAAGTAACACATTTCATAATGAAAAGCTAAATATGTAAAAAGGAGAGAGGGAAGAATTTTCTGAGCATTAAAGATCCAGAAGCAAGAGAGGTGCTTTCCTATTTGGTACTCCCGTCTCCAGCTGTTCATATCACATTCCCAACTCCTATCAGCACAACCCATGGCAGCATCCTATAAATCTCATCTTACCCCGAACATTCAATGTCTTCAAATTCCTATGCCTTTGAACATACCCTTGCACTATCCATAACACTGACCTCAATATTTGCATCAGAAACTCCCACTCATCCCTCCAGTTTCAGCTTATCACCAAACCCTTCTCTGAATACTTCACCGAAGCTTGCAAATACCTACAATAAAGCTCTCATTGCTCTCCAACTATCATTTGAATTTCCCTCCAGACTTTCATCCTTTTTTTTTCCAGTTTGCAGCATCAGGTTCTATCACAAAACATGACACATAATAGGCATTCGGTAAATGCTTGCTAAATGAAGGATAAACGAACAAATGAACAATTGAACACATGTAGGAAGGACCAAGGTTGGTGAAAATGGGAGTTGAAGATTTTTTTCACAACTCATATCAGAGGAATTAAAATAGAATGACCAGGAAACATGAAACGCATGAAAGAATTACTTTAGGCAATAATAACAATAATAACCAACATGAGAGGAGCACTCACTATGTGTCAGGTACTGTGCTAAGTATTTCACATATATCAATTATTTCAATCCTCATAATAACTCCATTATGAAGGACTACTTTTGAGGGGGTTTTTAGACACAAGATCTCACTGTCTTGCCCAGGCTGGAGTGCAGTGTGGCTCACTGCAGTCTCAATCTCCTGTGCTCAAGCGATCCTCCCAGGTTCACCTCCCGAATAGCTGGGACTACAAGAACACACCACCACATCCAGCTAATTATTAAATTTTTTGTAGAGATGTGGTCTCACTCTGTTGCCCAGGCTGGCCTTGAACTCCAGGCCTCAAGTCATCCTCCCACCTCCACCTTCAAAAGTGCTGGGATTATAGGTGTGAGCCCACCATGCCTGGCCTTGAAGGTACTAGTTTTTAGAGATGGTTCAACAGCAAAAAAAAAAGAAAAAGAAAAAGAAAAAAAAAAAACTCAATTAGAATAAAGAAACATTTCACTAAAAGAAGATACACAAATAGTCAATAAGCATATAGAAACATGTTCAACATCATCAATCATTATGGAAATAGAAATCAAAACCACAAAGACAGGCGACTTCAAACACACTAGAAGGCTGTAGTTTAAAAAACAGAGAATACAGGTGTTGACAAAAATGAGAAGAAAGATCCCTCATACTTACTGGTGGGAAAGTAAAATGGTTTATCACTTAGGAAACAACCTGGTAGTCCCACAAATCGTTAAATACTGAGTAATTATACAATCCATATAATGAGTACAAGTTTTATTTTAGAAAGAAGGAAAATGTTCTAAAATAGGTAATGGCTAAACAACTCTGAGACTATGTTAAAAAAAATACACAGAACTATACAATTTAAATGAGTGAAGTATATGAGATGTGAATTATATCTCAATGAAGTTCTTTTTTTAAAAAACTAACTTAAAAAATGTTTAAGCTTGACCATTATAATCCAGTTACTCAGTGACAGAACCAGAGGCTGCCTGATCCCGTGTTCAGGATTCCTACATACATCACAAAATCACTAAGAGAAGCATCACAATTAGCTCATTTTCAAAAAGGACTTCATCTATTTCTCTCAACCAAAGCAATACATTCTAACATAAGCACTTTGTGTACTGATGTAATATTTCTCAAAAAGTTAAACAGCATGAGAAATTTATAATATTAGATAAAATTACAGGCTAGGCATAGAATTGCCTAGTGGCTCATACCTATAATCTTGGCACTTTGGGAGGCCAAAGTAGGAGGACTGTTTGAACCCAGGAGTTTGGGACCAGCCTGAGCAACATAGCGTGACCCCCATCTCTAAAAAAAAAAAAAAAAAAAAAAAAAAATTTAATTAGCCAGGCATGCTGGCAGGCACCTGTTATCCCAGCTACTTGGGAGGCTGAGGTAGGAGGACTGCTTGACCCTGGGAAGTGAGGCTGCCGTGTGCCAAGATCGCGCCACTGCACTCCGGCCTGTGCAAGAGAGCAAGACCCTGTCTTTATAAAAAAATCTAAAAACAATTGTCTTATTTCTAACTCTGAACTACTTTCTATGCTTTGGTGACATCTATGGTGAAAATTGAAAACTAGCATTAACAGCTAGAAAGAAGCAAAGGATTTTTCCACATGAATTCCATCTTTCTTAGCTTTGCTTTTATTTCACAGAAACAGAAAATAAAGAAAACCTAATCAGTTAAATTACTCCTCTCTGGTGTCACATCCTAATAAATAACTGTTATCCTTATGTCCTTCAAGAAAGAAATGATACTAGTAGGACAATCATGTATGTTTTCTGATTACTCTTATCAATAAGTACCTAAAATATTAGGCAAACTAACTCATATATAGCACAGCTATGTAGTATGTATAACTGACAAAACCCAAGATCTCTAACACATTGGAATGTAAGTATTCATTTCCTTTAAGAATAGAATCCAAACAGCTGTTTCTCACCAATATACACTGTGAGAGAACTCCTGTGTACCTCCTTGCCATAACGAAAGGAAGTTTAACCCCACAGTACACAAACCTCACTGCACACACAAGATCCTGATGTCAGAACACCAATACTGAGGGGCGTACAATGTAAACATACAGCAGGAACCTATGGCAGAGGCCGAACCTTAATCATTTCCACCAACCTTTGGAATTCTGCTTTGGATTTCACTGGAACACAGGCTTTTGACAGAGAAATCAGAATATTCGAAAACAAGAAATCACCAATATCAGGCTCTTAAGTCCTATTGTTGTAAAGACTGAACAATGAACATAGCAGCAATCAACTCCCAAACTTAGCTATGCTTTATTATATGAGAGCCTCCCGAACTCAGCTATGCTTTATGATATAAGAGAGGCTCCCGAACCTAGCTATGCCTTATTATGTGAGAGGCTCCCAAACTTAGCTAAGCTTTATGATATTTGAGAGGCTCCTGAATTCAGCTATGCTTTATGAGATAAGAGAGCCTCCCGAACTCAGCTACTCTTTATTATATGAGAGGCTCCTGAACTCAGCTATGCTTTCTTATATAAGACAGACCCCCAAACGTAGCTATGCTTTATGATATGAGAGGCTCCCGAACTTAGCTACACTTTATTATATGAAAGGCTCCCGAACTCAGCTATACTTTATGATATGAGGCTCCCAAACTTAGCTATGCTTTATGATATAAGAGAGGCTCCTGAACTCAGCTACACTTTATGATATAAGAGAGGCTCCTGAACCTAGCTATGCTTTATGATATAAGAGAGGCAATTCGGTCACTTGTTGGGTAGAACCTCCTGGGACAAGCAGTCAACAGCAAGAAAGCAATTCCTGCTCCCTCCATTTTAAAACAGAAGGCTCTATTTTTACCACTATCCCCAAGCAACCAAACCAGAACCAAATAGCATGGATCTTTTGGAACGAGGAAAGCTCTAAATGCCAAAGTCCAAGTGTAGAAATATATCTTAACATTTTGCTCCATCCTTCAAATGTTTCAATGAAATGTTTCAATGCTGTCTGAATAGCAACCTCAATACCAACATCTCTCATGCAGTCCAAGTGGAAATGTTCCGTTTCTTCTATTTTCCTTCAGCCTGAGACAAATTGATTCTTTTCAAAGAGTCATTTCAATCATCCTCACGGGTTCTCTTAAAATAGACAAGGCAAAACCACTGGCTGTTACGTGCCTCTCACAAGTTCCACCTTTTTCACAAGTGGACAATGTGCACTACTACTGCGAGTGGACCCCCACGGTCAGACAGGGAAGAGGAACCCACCATGGCTGGACAGGGAAGACGAACACACCACAGTCAGACAGGGAAGACGAACCCACCACAGTCAGACAGGGAAGACGAACCCACCATGGCTGGACAGGGAAGACGAACACACCAGTCAGACAGGGAAGACGAACCCACCACAGTCAGACAGGGAAGAGGAACCCACCATGGTCAGACAGGGAAGAGGAACCCACCACGGCTGGACAGGGAAGACGAACCCACCACTGTCAGGGGAGAGGAGCCCGATCGCTGCCTCTATGCTCTGCCACCACCTAGTGAATAAGAACAAGAAAATCACATGGCAAGAGCCTGCAGACGTCAAGACACCTATGATAGACACCTAAGATGATAGGGTGGCTTTTAAAACCTGATTTTAAGATTACAAGGTTAGCTAAATATCTGAGGTAGTTTACCAGGAAAAAGAAAAATGTTTAGAGGAAGAACTTGGTCAAGAGCCTTTATGAGAGTGAGGGTCACTATATCTCATCATGTAAGGGGCCTTAGGAACACACCCCAAATTATCGGACAGTCTAGAAAAATACTATTTACTTTAGGATGGAAGTATGAGTTGCTCATATATAAATGACAGAAATAAATTAGCTTTTGCAAATTGGGCTTTATAGGTATACGTACATCAATATCCTACTGGTACATGTCTCCATTTTTCTTGATCCTATACTGTTTGGAAATTTTAGTGTTAGCTTCTCAGCTAGCTGATTATTCATTATCAAAGCTTTTTTGTTCCCAACGGCTCACTTACTAATTATATATCAAACCACAAAGCTCTCGAAGTTTCTGCTCCCTCCTTAGCATCCTATCTGGACCATCAGACAGCTTCTGGATCAGAACTGGATATACATCATCAACGCACACTGGACTAATTCAGGATAACTTTCCTAAGACCAAAGAACAAACTATTATGCAACATCGGTTTATTTTGATACTTAAGATAACCAGTGCTTTCATATACTCAATGATATGGTTTGGCTCTGTGTCCACACCCAAATTTCAAGCTGAATTATAATCCCCAGTGTTGAAGGAGGGCCTGGTGGGGCACGACTGAATCATGGGGCACATTCCCCCTTGCTGTTCTTGTGACAGTACGTTCTCACGAGACCTGGTTGTTCTCCTGCCAGCCATGGTGAGATGTGCTTGCTTCCGCTTTGTCTTTCACTATGATTGTATGTTTCCCAAGGAAGCAGAAGACTGTATGGCCTACAGAATCATTAGCTGATGAAAGCTCTTTTCTTTATAAATTACCCAGTCTCCCATGTGTCTTTATAGCAGTGTGAGAACTAATACACTCAACAAGTACAAAAACTACGGCTTAACCACAGCAACAATATTTATTTACCAAGCATGGCTGAAGATACTAAAGGAGTGTGTCACTGTGATGTAGAATTTCTAGAGATTAGGAATCCTTAGGATGGGTATGCTCTTCGGAAAACTGTACCATCTCTTTGCCTGTTCATGGACCACTGTCAGTCTGTTGCCTGTTAGAAACCTGGCTGCACGACAGGAGGTGAGTAGCGGGCAAGCAGGCATTACCACCTGAGCTCCACCTCCTGTCAGATCAGCGGCAGCATTAGATTCTCATAGTAGCATAAACCCTGCTATGAACTGTGTGTGCGAGGGATCTAGGCTGCACACTCCTTATGAGAATCTAATAATAAATGTAATGTGCTTGAATCATCCCAAAGCCATCCCCTGTCCTCCAGTCTGTGGAAAAATGATCTTCCAAGAAACCAGTCCCTGGTGCCAAAAAGGTTGGGACTGCTGGTACATCATATATTAGCTCTGTGACCTTCTTAACTATTTCAGATGATACCTTTTGTGCTCTCGGTTGAAAAACCATCTCCGAAGATAGGAGCTATTTTAACACAGCTATCCTAAATTCCTTACTTATCCATCATGGAAAAAAACAAATGTTTATTATTGCCAGGCCCTCAAGAAGTGAATGGTCTAGTAGGAAAAATATACCTAGACAGATGTAGTCACCTGATGGGTTCTTCTTGCCTGCTGCACAGATAGAGCTGATTCAGAGACAACAGTATAAATGACAGCAGTGGAGAAAGAGGTTACAAACACAGAGCCAGCCAAGCAAAAGAACAGGAGTTTATTACTCAAATCAGCCTCCCCACAAGCTCGGGGACCAGGGCTTTTCAAGGATAATTCAGCAGGCAGGGGGACAGGGAATGGGGAATGCTGACTGGTTTGGGATGAAATCATAGGGGTGTAGAAAACAGGCCTTGTGTGTTGAGTCGGCCTCTGGGGTGGGGGCACAAGACTGGTTGAGTCATAAAAAAAAAAAAAGCAAGAAAAGAAAAGAGGAGAGGGGAGGGGAGGGGAGAAAGAACAACAACAACAACAACAAGACTGGTTGAGTCCTGGGTCGTGGGTCTGGGTGGAATCCGTCAATCACTAGAATGCTAAAGTCTGAAAAACATCTCAAAAGACCAATCTTAGGCTCTACAATAGAGACGTCATCTGTAGGAGCAATTGGAGAAGTTACAAATCTTGTGATCTCCGGAACAATGGCTGGTTATGGTCTAACTATCCCTACATCTCAGCAGAATTTCAGGCTCTTCCCATCATCCTAATCTCATCGGCTTTCATTAATTTTACAAAGGCAGCTTCAGTCCCTGAGCAAGAAGGGAGTTAATTTGAGGGAGGGACTGTTTTCATCCTTGCTCCAAGGTTAAACGACACACTCAATTCTTCCCGTGGTTAGTTTGGCCCACGCCCAGAAATGGGCAAGGACAGCCCGCCTGTGAGCTTAGAAGGCGGAGTCAGCCATGCTGGACTTCTCTGTCATAATCATTGCAAAGCTGGTTTCATAGATGAGAATCTATAATAAGGTATGGTAAAAGCTACCATAGAGAGATGTACAACATGCAGTGGTGATGACCTCTACTTGGGAATAGCTTCACAAATGAAATACTTAGAGTGGTTCTTAAAGGGCAAGGGTTAAACCAGGCTGACAAGGAAAAGCATGTACAATGGTAAACAGTACATTCAGGGGACTGTAAATAGTATAGAGTGACTGAAGCACAGAGCACAAAGAGGGAGACACTGGGGCTCAGGTTAGTCAGATCAGCAGGAGCCAAAAGGAGGAGGAGACTGGAAGAGAAAAACTGAGAATGAGGTATGCACAATGGAGGAAGATAAACAGGTGAGAGCATTCACAGAACCCAAAGAAACAGAATTCAAGAACTAGTGATGAGTCTGACAAGAGCTATATAAAATAGACAGTATCAAACAACATCCAACACCCAGCCCTCTTTCTACTATTAATAAAAAGACTGATTGCCCAGCGTAATTAGTCATACCATAAAGGAGTAGATAGTTGTAGATTTTCTCTTGAGATTTCAACTGTACACAAATTTTTCATATATTTTATTTTTATTTTATCTTATTTATTTGTTTTGAGACAGAGTCTTGCTCTGTCTCCCAGGCTGCAGTGCAGTGGCATGATCCTGGCTCACTGCAACCTCCGCCTCCCAGGTTCAAGCGATTCTCCTGCCTCAGCCTCACAAGTAGCTGGGACTACAGGCATGTGCCACCACGCCCAGCTAGTTTTTTTGTATTTTTAGTAGAGACAGGGTTTCACCATGTTGGCCAGGCTGGTCTTGAACTCATGGCCTCAAATGATCCACCTGCCTCGGCCTCCCAAAGTGCTGGGATTACAGGTGTGAGCCACCTTGCCCAGCCCCATATTTTATTTTTATTTATTTATTTTTGAGGCACAACCTCATTCTGTCACCTGGGCTGGAGTGCAGTGGCATGATCACTGCTCACTGCAGACTCCACCTCCCAGGTTCAAGCAATTCTCCCGCCTCAGCCTCCCAAGTAGCTGGGACTACAGATGTGTGCCACCATACCTGGCTAATTTTTGTATTTTTTTTACTTCTTTGTACTTTTGGGTTTTTCCACATTGCCCAAGCCGGTCTCGAACTCCTGGGCTCAACTGATCTGCCCGGGTCAGCTTTCCAATAGTGCTGGGACTACAGGCGTGAGCTACCATGCCCAGCCTCTCATTTTTAATAGATACTATTTTAAAAAGTACTGTGAAAAAGAAACAAAAATGAAAAAGACACATGCCTATCCTTAAGGAACTTATGTCCTACCAAACTATAAAGTAAGCCATACCATTTATGGATTTGTAGCAACATGTCATCCTGTCAACTTTATTACTGAGGCTATGAGATGTATTAACATTGGCTTTCAAATTATTTGTATTAGCAAACATAAAATTCAAGCATAGAAATTGAGTCTGATCTAAAAATCAGCAAATTACAATTATGAATTTGTTATATTCTCACTGTATCCACGTCCTCAAAACTCTGACATTAGCAAGCCATTAAACAAGACCACTAAGATTACATTAATTTTATACTAAAGTTGTATGCTAAAATTTTCATCTTTCTCTGTTTCATCTTTCTCTGTTTTCCCAAAAGAAAAAAAAAGGTAAAGATCAAAAGTTATATATTTCAGATATATAATCCTAAAAAATGCTCCATTGCTAGGTGACTAATTTTAAGACACTGCCATCAGTTTAACAGGTCACTCGTTCATTTATTCATCTAACATTTATTTACCCACATACTGTGATAGGCAGTGAGGAATAAGCACAGAACAGAAACAGTGCCTGCCTTCACAAAGCTTAGTCTAGCAGGATAGTAACTTAAGACACTGAAACAGTATATTAAGTGCCTTTTACAAATATTCTTCGCAGCTATACCAGCTACTACTTGCATTTCAACATTTTATTTCAAAGCCATTATTTATTTGTTTGTTTATTTTTTTTGAAATGGTGTCTTGTTAGGTTGCCCAGGCTGGTCTCAAACTCCTGGGCTCAAGCAGTCCTCCCGCCCGAGCCTCCCAAGTAACTGGGATTACCGGCACATGCCACTGTGTCTGGATCCAAAACCATTTTTTTAAAATTATTTCAGTGTTAAGACAACTTTAAGAAACAATATTATGATTGGTATCGGTCATTAATTGTGCTATTTTATGACTTCAATCTTTTGATGCAGTATAGTTTCCTGGCCATTTCCAATAGAAAATTCCTTGCCCCTTTCAGGCTACTGTAGTTGAGATACAAGACTTGAGATATTTTTCTAAGAGAAAACAAAACAAACAAAGCAGCCAAGAGAAACAATATCAGCCATGTAATAAAATACCCAATGTACTTTATTTCATTATCCTAGGCAAATAAAAAAAAAACCACTATGAATTATACAGTATACAAATATGTTTTCTTCGGAAAACACTGAAAAACAGATTCATGTGGAAAGAAATTACTTTATTCCTACCACTGTCTTTTTCAGACACACTCAAAATTCATAAAATTCACAAAATCTGAAGCTCATAAATCAAAAGAAACTGTTCATACATCATGAACACTATACTAACTTTTTAAAAAGTATTCGAGGCAGCTGAACATCATCACAGTATCTTAAGACTCATATTTCCTTAGATTAATTCAGTGATCACTTTCAAAGCAAAGCTTTTTATGAAAGCTAAAATAAAATTTCTAGGTAACCAAGGAGAGTCTTTCAAATGGAAAAAAGCTGATGATATTAAACTCTAAAAAATAAGGCCCAGGCATGGTGGCTCACACCTCTAAATCTCAGCACTTTGGGAGGCCAAGGCAGGAGTATCTCTTGAGCCCATGAGTTCAAGACCAGCCTGGGCAACACAGCAAGACCCCATCTCTATTTAAACTTTTTTTTTTTTGAGACACAGTCTTGCTCTGTGGCCCAGGCTGGAGTGCAGTGGTGCAATCTCGGCTCACTGCAAACTCTGCCCCTCAGATTTAAGATATCCTCCTGCCTCAGCCTACCAAGTAGCTGGATTACAAGCATGTGCCACCACACCTGGCTAATTTTTGTATTTTTAGTAGAGATAGGGTTTCACCATGTTGGCGAGGCTAGTCTTGAACTCCTGACCTCAGGTGATCTGCCCACCTCAGCCTCCCAAAGTGCTAGGATACAGGCATGAGCCACCATGCCCAGCCTTAAATTTTTAAAAATAAAAAATAGAGTATGTAATAATCATATAAAGTTCTAAAACATCCAGTAGCAATGTTCTTAAATCCCAGTAATTCAGGTGCTTTTTTTTTTTTTTGAGCCAGTTTCACTCTTGTTGCCCAGACTGGAGTGCAATGGCACGATCTTGGCTCACCACAACCTCCACCTCCCAGGTCCAAGCGATTCACCTGCCTCAGCCTCCCGAGTAGCTGGGATTACAGGCATGTGCCACCACGCCCGGCTAATTTTGTATTTTTAGTAGAGATGGGGTTTCTCCATGTTGGTCAGGCTGGTCTCGAACTCCCGACCTCAGGTGATCCGCCCATCCCAGCCTCCCAAAGTGCTGGGATTACAGGCGTGGGCCGCCGTGCCTGGCCTCAAATACTATTTTAAGATTGTTCATCCATAATACATTGTAGTCTGAAAGAAGAATAACCTCTCTAAACAGTACCTATTACCTTCATCCTCTCTTTTTCCAATATAATGGCAAAAGACAGAGTTGTGATATTTTTACTGTAATCACAGAAACATCAATTCAACATATATAGGATTAGCATATCACACATTTCAGCAAATATCAAAATACAGATGTTTCTTCATCCTGATGAACAAATTTATTATTAAACTTGCCAACTATTTTCCAAATTTATAAAAGACCATAATAAAATGTGAGGCAAAACTGTTCAAACCAGTTAAAATGAGTCTCGATCAGCTAAAATGATTAACAACGCCATCTTAAAGATGATCCCATATCTGAGCACGTGATACCTCTGTGATTTCAGGGCACAAATCCCTCTATCCATCAAACTAAATAGAAGGGTTAGAGAGGTTAATCGAGACAGAGTGTCTGTAACAGACTTCTGCATTTCATTCTCCACTCAATATACTTCAAACATCATTGAACTATTTGTTATGTTCTTATGAATCAATGCTCCCTTCACAGTCAAGATAGAGGCTAGAAGCCACTGTGTGAAGTAATAAAGCTTACCTTTGCAAATCCTCATCAAGCTGATCTGATGATTAAGTCTATGTGAGGCTTCCTAAACAACTGAAGTGTAATCACAACTTTAATTAGAAGCTCAAATGGCACTGCTAAACACCTAAATAAAACATGAGCAAGTACAATAGCCACCTGCAACGAGCAATGCCATTTTCCAGCCTCCATTTACTATAAAGAGATTTTTCTCTATTCAGCTGCACAATCACTTGGGCTACATGATCTCTGGCCTAGCAATAGCAGTCAATAATTTAAAATCATGAAAATAAATTTTCAATCTATACTTAAGTTCTATTATGCACTGGTGGTAGTCAAAAATGTCACAGACTGAATAAAAATGAAGCTCACTCATTTGCTAGGCTGGCACCCCATTCTACCCGAACTGTCCATTAAGAGTCACCATTAAAAACAAACAAAACTCATATGGCAAACTTCTGATAAACCAATTTACTCTATTTGTGGCTGATTAAGGGTGATCCTGGACTACATGGCTTTTTTAGTTCCTCCCTGACTAATGGAAAATTACTAGAAGAGTAAGGACTACACAGAACTAGTTGCATAAATTACAGTTGGCCAGGTGCAGTGGTTCAGCCTGTTATCCCAGAAATTTGGGAGGCCTTGGTAGGAGGACTGCTTTAGGCCAGGAGTTTGAGACCAGCCTGGGCAACATAGTAAGGCCCTGTGTCTTAAAAAAAAAAAAAATTTAATTAGCCAGAAATGATGGCACATGCCTGTAGCCCCAAGTACTCGGGAAGTTGAGGCAAGAGGATTGCTTGAGCCCAGGAGTTAAATCAGATGGCATTAGTGATGGTTGCACATACCAAGAAAAATATATCCCAGTTTCCTTCTTTACTCCCTGTTTTAAACATATATCCTATCTTCCTAGTTCATCTCCTCTGGTCTCTCCTTCTATGAGATATGGATAATTTATTCCCTATCCTTGCTGCCTTCTAACAGTAGTATAAGAGAAGGTATAATCAGTGGTAAGAACATTTAACTAGGAAATAACCCAGAGGTCCACTGACAGAAAAACTGATAAAGTGTGGTCTATGCTATACCACAGAATATCACAAAGTGGTGAAAATTAATAACTAATGCTATGTGCAATAACACATACATGCTGAAAATGTAATGCTGAGCATTTTTAAATTTCATAAGACTATATTCAGCAATGATACCATTTATAGGGCTCAAAAAACAAGAAATATATATCCGTGTTCAAGCACACATACATTTGTGACAAGCATAGAAAACATATACAAAGCATGTGAAACGTCTCAGATACCCTGATTCAAAGTCAAGGGTCTCATGGAAATTTATTCAGGTTTGGATGCACACCTGACTTGGCATGTATGCTGCTCTACATAGGACACACCCAACACAACCAACCTAGTGTTGCTCTAAGGCCGCTAACCTTTAAAATAAATAAAGCCAGCCAGCATATCACCCTTCATTGACCTATCTTAAATTCGAATCACAATGATAGCTGTAAGTGGAAATTTTTTGCTTTTCGTTATAAAAGCTTTACACATACCCTGGTGGCCACCGCTGCTGAGGTCAGCAGCACCACGGCAGCTGTGAAAGGTTAGCAGTTTTGTTTTTGTGTGTTGAGGCCTTGGCTCAAGATCCCATCTGTGCTGACTTCAGACTGAAGGGAACACATTTCCTCCAGCCTGAAAACTGAAACATATGCCGCAATAATTAGAGCTTCCTTGAGTCAGTTCAGCTGAACCCAGGATGCTGAGACTGATAACCTGTGAGCACACTAGAAGACTTCACATACGGCACCCACCTGCTAGACAAAGACAGACATGAAGACATGGCCACGAGGCCTCCATATCCAAAAAGACAGAAGTCCCATCATCTATATGTATTATGTCTATATCTGCTTGCAGACTCCTGCTTCTGCTAAAAAGTACAGTGAGGAGTTTGCAAGTTAAAGAGACAGAACTAAGTCAACAAAACTGCAGCATTTAGAAAGCCCCTGCAAGCACTTGATCTCTGCGTCCTCTTTACTTGATCTCTGTGCCCTCTTTACGTGATCTAGACTTGTGCTCTCCAATACTGGCCACATTTGGCTAGTTAATGAAAATTCAATAAAATTGAAAATCAACTTCCTCGGTCACATTAGCCACATTTCAAGTGATCAATAACCACATGTGACTACTGGCTGATTACCATATTGGACAGAGCAAGTATAAAACCTTTCTTTCATTACAGAAAGTGCTTTGGGCAGTCCTGACTTAGACACTAATCCACTTTTTTACTCTTATTATATTGACTCATAATAATTGTAAACATTTATGAGGTACAGCATGATTCTTTTTTTAGACGGGATCTTACTTTGTCACTCAGGCTGAAGTGCAATAGTGCAATCACGGCTCACTACAACCTCAACCTCCCAGACTCAAGTCATCCTCCCACCTCAGCCTCCCAAGTAGCTGGGACTACAGGTGTGCACGACCACACCTGGCTAATTTTTATATTTTTTGCAGAGATGGGGTTTCAACATGTTGCCCAGGCTGGTCTCAAACTCCTGGACTCAAGTGATCTGCTCATTTCAGCCTCCCAAAGTTCTGGGATTACAGGGATGAGCCACCATGCCTGGCCATACAGTATGATATTTTTACACGTATACACAATGTGTAATGATCAAATCAGAGTAAAGTAGCATATCCACCACCTCAAACATTTATCATTTATTTGTGTTGGTAACACTCAAAATCTGCCTTTCTAGCTACTGGAAAATATACAATACGTTGTGGTTAATAGACACTAATCCACTTTTAAAACAAAACCAAAACCGCCACCAGCATGCTGAACATCAAAATCCCAGAGCTAGCCAGAAAATGTCAAGGATTAGTCACCCAGCACAATTAATCTGAGATGGTCCACAGGCTTCCAGGGTTGAGGCTTCTCTTAAGTGGTGTCTTTATTTTATTTCATTGTTTACTGTCGCACAGCGATTAAAAGAATGGACTCTGAGGCCAGGTGCAGTGGTTCACGTCTGTAATCCCAGCACTTTGGGAGGCCGAGGCGGGCGGATCACGAGGTCAGGAGATCGAGACCATCCTGGCTAATACGATGAAACCCCGTCTCTACTAAAAATACAAAAAAAATTAGCCGGGCGTGGTGGCGGGCGCCTGTAGTCCCAGCTACCCGGGAGGCTGAGGCAGGAGAATGGCGTGAACCCAGGAGGCAGAGCTTGCAGTGAGCCCAGATGGCGCCACTGCACTCCAGCCTGGGCGACAGAGCAAGACTCTGTCTCAAAAAAAAAAAAAAAAGAAAGAAAGAAAGAAAAAAGAATGGACTCTAGAATTAGACGGTTTGAGCCTGAATCGCTGCAACAGTCTGTTAATTATTCAAACTCTCTCATTCTCCTGTAGGTTAAATCGCTGCAACAGTCTGTTAATTATTCAAACTCTCTCATTCTCCTGTAGGTTAAAATGGGATTTTTTTTTTTTAAATAGAGACAGCGTTTTGCCATGTTGCCCAGGAGCTTGAACTCCCAGGCTCAAGCAATCTGCCTGCCTCAGCTTCCCAAAGCGCTGGGACTACAGGTGTGAGCCACCGCGCCCAGCCAAAATGGGGATACTAATAGTATCTACCTCATAGATTTGTTTAAAAATTAAATGACACAATGTTTGTAAATCTATTAGTACCATGCTTGGCATAGAGTAAGAGCTCTATAATTGTTAGCTATTAACTATTATTATCCTTGCCAAAAGGAAGGAGAAGAAAAGCATGAGGCTGAATTTTTGAATTTTGCCCATTAAAAAATATCGGAGCTCTGGTAAAGATGCACTATGAGAGAAAATCAACACATATGATCTGTTTCATCTTCAGCCTTGTAGTTTAATAATTTCCTTTCTCACCTTTAAAAAGCTTGTCCTTGCCTTTTCGCTCTTCTTGTAAGTCTCTCTTCAGTGCACCGTGTCCATAGTGCTACGTGTTAGGCACTATTCAAAGCACATGACATGTACCAGCTTAATAAATTCTCACAACAATCCTACAAGGTAGATACTCAATGTGCCTATTTATTTTCAAGTGAAAAAACGGAGACACTTAGAGGTTAGGTAACTAGTGCAGGATCACATAGCTAGTAAGTGACAGTGTCACTGGCTCCAAAAGCAGGCAGTATGGATGAAGAATCTCTGCTCCATCACAGCCATCGTGCAAAATTGCTTCGATATGCAGCAGTCCTCCCTTCAAAACAAACAAACAACACCTTTCCCAAGCTATCGACCTGGTAATATTATTATAGTTTATTTAATTAGATTGGCAGGACAGGCAAGGAGAAGTCTCTTGGGATTTGGATATGACAGCAGCTCTCATTGTCCTGTCTTCTGACTAAATCCCCTGGGGGATGTGGATGGAATAAAACTCTGCTATTCAGAAGGGTTGGCATTGCCCCCTGGGAGGTCTGGAAATTTATGAGGATAGTTTGGTTTTCACAATAATTGGGGGGTACCATCACTCTGAAGGAGACAAAGGTGCTTATATCCCACATTATCTGTCACAATCACATACAATTTTCAAATGTCCACTTTAGACAATTTAGGTCTAGATTGTAACTGCTGATTATGTATAAGGAGCAATTCTCATATTGTTCTAGTGTATTTAATATAGTTCTAAGATTGCAACCACCAGGTAAAATGAAAGAAACTGGTACTTTTGTCTTCAAAACCTTAGCAGGAGTTGTTCATCATCTGAGACTATAAGGTCATGCTATTTGAATCCCAAAGACAACACAGCTGTATCAGTCTCCAATTAGAGCCGCACATTCACAGTAAGGCTGCGCCATGACCGCTCTCCTAGTGCCAAAACATTTATATAAAACAATGTCCTAGGCAGCTGAGGCTGCTATAACAGAATACCACACATTGGGTGGCTTATATGCAACAAAAATCTATTTTTCGGCCAGACATGGTGGCTCGTGCCCGTAATCCCAGCACTTTGGGAAGCAGAGGCGGGTGGATCACCTGAGGTCAGGAGTTCAAGACCAGCCTGGCCAACATGGTGAAACCTCGTCTCTACTACAAATACAAAAATTAGCCAGGAGTGGTGGCAAGCGCCTGTAATCCCAGCTACTCAGGAGGCTGAGGCAGGAAAATCACTTGAACCTGGGAGGCAGAGGTTGCAGTGAGCCGAGATCACGCCACTGCACTCCAGCCTGGGCAACAGCAAGACTCCGTCTCAAAATAAATAAATAAATAAATAAATAAATTATATATATATATTCACTCTTGAGGAGGCTGGGAAATCCAAAAATCAAAACGTCTGCATATTCAGCGTCTGAGAGCTCACTGCTCATTCAGTGTAAATGAAGAAACCTGAGGGCAGGTTTCTTCATTTACAGATGGTGTTGCTGTGTGTCCTCACTTGGCAGAAGGGGAAGTCAGCTCCCTTGGGCCTCTTTTATGAGGGCGCTAATCCCATTCATGAGGACTCTGCCTTCCTGAGCTAATTACCTCCCCGAAGCACCACCTCTTAATATTATCACCTTAGGGGTTAAGATCACACAGCATATAAATTTTGGAAGGACACAAACACTCTGACCACAACAGGTAATAGACACCATTTGATAAATAATTTTCCATTTATTTCTTCTTTATATTTTCATTGGGTCATTATATTGCTATTTTGAAACTGTCTATATAAATAGTTATATATTATCTAAGACTCTCCCTTCAGGATAGCATTTGTGTGTGTGTGCGTGCATGTGCATGTGTGTTTCAAAATACATGTTTATAAAAAGGGGTTTTGTGCTTAATAGGGGTGATGTCCTCTGCTCGGCATCTCTGGGAAAGAACTGGTCTACAGAATAAGCTGTTGCTGTTTCCTATCAATATTTTACTATACAGGAAAATCAGAGCTACATGTCCTTAACACCAGCTTTCTGGTGAGGGAATTACTGATAAGTAATGAGAATTACTGATAAACAGAGAGAAAAATGAAATTTATGAGTTCTCCATCAAGTTCTGGCCTCTCCCCATCCTAATCCCTATCTCAGAAGCAAGTCTTTTTTTTTTTTTTTTTTTTTTTTGAGATGGAGTCTAGCTCTCTCACCCAGGCTGGAATGTAGTGGTGCTATCTCAGTTCACTGCAAACTCTGCCTCCCAGGTTCATGCAATTCTCCTGTCTCAGCCTCCTGAGTAGCTGGAATTACAGGTGCCTGCCACCACACCTGGCTAATTTTTGTATTTTTAGTAGAGACAGGGTTTCACCATGTTGGCCAGGTTGGTCTCAAACTCCTGACCTCAAATGATCTGCCCGCTTCGGTCTCCCAAAGTGTTGGGATTACAGGCGTGAGCCACCGCACCCAGCCAAGTCTTTAAAGTATAAAACCTTAAGGTTCATATCCTTCACCCACTTTTTGATGGGTTTTTTTTTCTTGTAAATTTGTTTGAGTTCATTGTAGATTCTGGATATTAGCCCTTTGTCAGATGAGTAGGTTGCAAAAATTTTCTCCCATTCTGTAGGTTGCCTGTTCATTCTGATGGTGGTTTCTTTTGCTATGCAGAAGCTCTTTAGTTCAATTAGATCCCATTTGTCAATTTTGGCTTTTGTTGCCATTGTTTTTGGTGTTTTAGACATGAAGTCTTGCCCATGCCTATGTCCTGAATGGTATTGCCTAGGTTTTCTTCTAGGGTTTTTATGGTTTTAGGTCTGACATGTAAGTCTTTAATCCATCTTGAATTAATTTTTGTATAAGGTGTAAGGAAGGGATCCAGTTTCAGCTTTCTACATATGGCTAGCCAGTTTTCCCAGCACCATTTATTAAATAGGGAATCCTTTCCCCATTTCTTCTTTTTGTGAGGTTTGTCAAAGATGAGATAGTTGTAGATATGCAGCATTATTTCTGAGGGCTCTGTTCTGTTCCATTGGTCTATCTCTCTGTTTTGGTACCAGTACCATGCTGTTTTGGTTACTGTAGCCTTGTAGTATAGTTTGAAGTCAGGTAGCCTGATGCCTCCAGCTTTGTTCTTTTGGCTTAGGATTGACTTGGCAATGCGGGCTCTTTTTTGGTTCCATATGAACTTTAAAGTAGTTTTTTCCAATTCTGTGAAGAAAGTCATTGGTAGCTTGATGGGGATGGCATTGAATCTGTAAATTACCTTGGGCAGTATAGCTTTTTTCATGATATTGATTCTTCCTACCCATGAGCATGGAATGTTCTTCCATTTCTTTGTATCCTCTTTTATTTCATTGAGCAGTGGTTTATAGTTCTCCTTGAAGAGGTCCTTCACGTCCCTTGTAAGTTGGATTCCTAGGTATTTTATTCTCTTTGAAGCAATTGTGAATGGGAGTTCACTCATGATTTGGCTCTCTGTTTGTCTGTTATTGGTATATATGCTTGTGATTTTTGCATGTTGATTTTGTATCCTGAGACTGCTGAAGTTGCTTATCAGCTTAAGGAGATTTTGGGCTGAGATGATCGGGTTTTCTAGATATACAATCATGTCATCTGCAAACAGGGACAATTTGACTTCCTCTTTTCCTAATTGAATGCCCTTTATTCCCTTCTCCTGCCTGACTGCCCTGGCCAGAATTTCCAACACTATATTGAATAGGAGTGGTGAGAGAGGGCATCCCTCTCTTTTGCCCATTTTCAAAAGGAATGCTTCCAGTTTTTGTCCATTCAGTATGATATTGGCTGTGGGTTTGTCATAGATAGCTCTTATTGTTTTGAGATACGTCCCATCAATACCTAATTTATTGAGAGTTTTTAGCATGAAGTGTTGCTGAATTTTGTCAAAGGCCTTTTCTGCATCTATTGAGATAATCATGTGGTTTTTGTCTTTGGTTCTGTTTATATGCTGGACTACATTTATTGATTTTCGTATGTTGAACCAGCCTTGCATCCCAGGGATGAAGCCCACTTGATCATGGTAGATAAGCTTTTTGATGTATTGCTGGATTCAGTTTGCCAGTATTTTATTGAGGATTTTTGCATCGATGTTCATCAAGGATATTGGGTAAAATTCTCTTTTTTTGTTGTGTCTCTGCCAGGCTTTGGTATCACGATGATGATGGCCTCATAAAATGAGTTAGGGAGGATTCCCTCTTTTTCTATTGATTGGAATAGTTTCAGAAGGAATGGTACCAGCTCCTCCTTGTACCTCTGGTAGAATTCGGCTGTGAATCCATCTGGTCCTGGACTTTTTTTGGTTGGTAAGCTATTAATTATTGCCTCAATTTCAGAGCCTGTTATTGGTCTATTCAGAGATTCAACTTCTTCCTGGTTTAGTCTTGGGAGAGTGTATGTGTCGAGCAATTTATCCATTTCTTCTAGATTTTCTAGTTTATCTGCGTAGAGGTGTTTATAGTATTCTCTGATGGTAGTTTGTATTTCTGTGGGATCGGTGGTGATATCCCCTTTATTTTTTATTGCATCTATTTGATTCTTCTCTCTTTTCTTCTTTATTAGTCTTGCTAGCAGTCTATCAATTTTGTTGATCTTTTCAAAAAACCAGCTCCTGGATTCATTGATTTTTTGAAGGGTTTTTTGTGTCTCCATTTCCTTCAGTTCTGCTCTTCTCAAAAGAAGACATTTATGCACCCAAAAAACACATGAAAAAATGCTCATCATCACTGGCCATCAGAGAAATGCAAATCAAAACCACAATGAGATACCATCTCACACCAGTTAGAATGGCAATCATTAAAAAGTCAGGAAACAACAGGTGCTGGAGAGGATGTGGAGAAGTAGGAACACTTGTACACTGTTGGTGGGACTGTAAACTAGTTCAACCATTGTGGAAGTCAGTGTGGCGATTCCTCAGGGATCTAGAACTAGAAATACCATTTGACCCAGCCATCCCATTACTGGGTATATACCCAAAGGATTATAAATCATGCTGCTATAAAGACACACGCACACATATGTTTATTGTGGCACTATTCACAATAGCAAAGACTTGGAACGAAGCCAAATGTCCAACAATGATAGACTGGATTAAGAAAATGTGGCACATATACACCATGGAATACTATGCAGCCATAAAAAAGGATGAGTTCATGCCCTTTGTAGGGACATGGATGAAGCTGGAAACCATCATTCTCAGCAATCTATCCCAAGGACAAAAAACCAAACACCGCATGTTCTCGCTCATAGGTGGGAATTGAACAATGAGAACGCATGGACACAGGAAGGGGAACATCACACACCAGGGACTGTTGTGGGGTTGGGGGAGGGGGGAGGGATAGCATTAGGATATATACCTAATGCTAAATGACGAGTTAATGGGTGCAGCACACTAACATGGCACATGTATACATATGTAACAAACCTGCACGTTGTGCACACGTACCCTAAAACTTAAAGTATAATAAAAAAAAAAAAAAAAAACTTAAGGTACAGCAGCCACTATCCTGTCTCTTCCCCTTGTCACCTCTCCCTGGCTGAGCCAACTTGCTTTGCGTTAACTACCTTTCTCACACATCCCCAAGAGCCTACAGAAAAGGTCTATGATCTTGGCTTGTTACTACCAAATCATCTCAAACCTCTCAGCATCTTTACCTACTCAGTTAAGTAAGGAAACTCACAATTCCTTGAGTAGTTCCTGTAGCCCTCTCCCAGCCTGAATGGCTCTTCCTGGTGTTGCCGATGCTAATCAATGACTGAACACAGGACTGCTGTCTCTCTCATTTCTCTGAACTAGCTGGCATATCTTTACTTTCTTCCCTCTTGGCTTCTAATGAAGACAAAACTGCATTGCCTAATTATCCTTTAGAAAGAAAACCTTAACATTCTTTAATACTTGATCTCTTTTCAATGCCTTCTATTTGTTTCTGTAATTCAGCTAAAAATAGTTCAGCCATTGAAAAAAATAGATTCCAATAAAACATATTGAATGACAACTATTTAATGTGTTAAAAAGAATACTACCTGATTTTTTTTTTTCAGTAAACTAAAAAGCTTCCTGAATTTGCAGCATTCTTAAATTGAAGTAAGAAGTGGAGAGACACTTTGGGCAGCCGAGGCAGGCGGATCATGAGGTCAGGAGTTCAAGACCAGCCTGGCCAACATTGTGAAACTCCATCTCTACTAAAAGTACAAAAAATTAGCTGGGTGTGGTGGCCGGTGCCTGTAATCCCAGCTACTTGGGAGGCTGATGCAGGAGAATGGCTTGAACTCGGGAGGCGGAGGTTGCTGTGAGCCGAGATCGCACCATTGCACTCCAGCCTCAGCAACAAGAGTGAGACTCCGTCTCAAAAAAAAAAAAAAAAAGAAGTGGGAAGAAAGGGAGAAGAGATTAATATAGTAGCAGTTTTTAAATGTTGGTATGTACCAGATCTTCCTAATTACCTGATAAGGAAGGTTACCCATAATTTATAGGTTGAAGAAATCAAGGCAGAGAGGTTAAACAGTTTGCTCAAGGTCATGTATAGACACCTCCACCCTCACCCTCAACCAGTGCTAGGATTACAACCCAATTTGTCTAATTCTATTACATCATGCTACCACTCTACAGTAATTATAATTAGTGCTAACTTCATACCAAGAACTGTGCTAAGTATCTCATTTAGTCTTTATAATAACCCTATGACGTAGGTACCAAATTTAGCTTCATTTTACAAATGAGAAAATTGGGCACAGAAAGAAAGTCAGGTTGCCCAAAGTCACACAGTAAATAGTCCAGCTTATATTCAAATCCAGGAACCTGACTCCAGAACCTATGCCCTTAATCATTAGGCGGCACTCTCGGATAGAATTAAAATCCACCAGGCAAAAAATGAGTAAATAGCTAATTTTTATCAGTAAAGATTACTGAGGAAATCACAACAGCGCTATTCCCAACAGAATGATTTAACAATAGCTATGTTCATGAGGATGCATGATATAGTTTGAATATACGTCCCCACCAAATCTCACGCTGAATTGTAATCCCCAGGGTTGGAGGTGGGGCCTGCAGGGAGGTGTCTGGGTCATGGGGGAGGATCTCTCGTGGCCCAGTGCTGTGCTCATGATAAGATACGCTCATTTCAAAGTGTATGATGCCCCACCCCCACACACTAGCTCCTGCTTCCTCCATGTGACGGGCCAGCTCCGCTTTGCCTTCTACCATGATTGTAAGCTCCCAGAGGCCTCATCAGAAACCAAGCAGATGCCAGGTGCCACACATGCTTCCTACACAGGCTGCAGAAGTGTGAGCCAAGGAAACCTCTTATCTTTATAAATTGCCCAGCCTCAGGTACTTCTTTATAGCAACACAACAGCAGCCTAATACAATGCACTAGCAAATCAAAGTGGGATTTTTGTTTAGTCCACAAGTGATTAAAACTCCGAAAAAACAAAACCATTAACCTTACGAATTAAATATCTTCTTTTGATGGGCTAATGTAATATTGAATATGAAGTGATTAGAAAGTAATTCCCCAAAATTTCTGTCTGTGGGTGGAAAGAGGGGTGGTATATAACAGCACAACACAGAAATGTATCCCTACATGTGCCTGGTTGAAAATTCATTTTCTCTTTGGAATCCAGGCTCCTCCTACCCCTAGAGCAGTCAGAGAGACATAGCTACCAAATGCAAAACAGAATGCAGTCTTTAGAGAGAGACCACCAGGGCTGAGATATCACCCACTGTTATTTACAAATAAAGCCAGCAGTGAGAGATGGGACAGACATATTAGAGGAAATCAAAAGAGTCATTTTTAAATGTTAAAGATTTTTCTTGGAAAATATGAAAGGAAAAACTAAGAACATTATCTTGGTAAGTTAGCAAAGCCCTGAAGCAAGCATTGGACATCCCAAATCAGCCACATGGGACACAGAGGAGGGTCCACATAGAACCAAAGCCTGTCTCTTCTCTACAAGGTTAAGGTTTGAGTTTCCTAGAGGAAGAAACAAGAGATTTAGAATGCATGGTGTCATGTAAATCACTCTCACTGTCATTATTTTTAAGGCTTTTACGTATATATTTTAACTGCATACTATATGTGTAAAATATATATATTCATATACACATAAATGCACACACACACACAAATACATATGTAAAAATAAATGTACAGCTGATTCAGGTAAATCATACCAGGAAACTGAAGCCAGTTTTGGTTTTTTTGCTGGTTTTTTTTTTTTTTTTTTGAGATAGAGTCTTGCTCTGTCGCCCAGACCAGAGTGCAGTGGCATGCTATCGGCTCACAGCAACCTCTGCCTCCTGAGTTCAAGTGATTCTCCTGCCTCAGCCTCTGAGTAGCTGGAATTACAGGCACACACCACCAGGCCCAGCTAATTTTTGTATTTTTAGTAGAGACGACGTTTCACCATGTTGGCCAGGCCAGTCTCGAACTCCTGACCTCAGGTGATCCACCTGCCTCGGCCTCCCAAAGTCCTGGGATTACAGGTGTGAGCCACCGCGCCCGGCTGGAGCCAGGTTTTTGACATCCACATTGGGTAAATCCTGGTGAGCAGAACAGCACCCATCACAAAATACTGCCTTAATTTAAAGCTATTCCAGCTAGGTCTGTTTCATATTACTGTAATGAAGATAATAGCCAAAACATGATAATAAAACTAACAAACCCCTGGAATTGTTAACACAGATACACTGTCAACAATTTTTCTACAAAAACTGCCATGTCAGCTTAAGTGATCTTTTCTTCTCTGAACAGTTACAGCATTTACCTTCTCTAGGCTTAGGACCCAGAGATGCAAAGGGAAAGGCAAGTGTTGTGGGCTCACCCCCCACTTCTAATATAACAGCAATAATAATAGATAAAATGTATATCGTACTTACCACGTCCCAGACTGTTTTTAAATGCTTTAACTACTCCATTATTTTTAATCCTCACAACAATCCCATTATTAGTCCATGTACTAACAAGGAAATTGACCCAGAGTTGAGGTAAATAGTCCCAGGTCATAAAGCTAGTTCATAGAACTAGATCTAGAACCCTGGCCTCCAGCACTAAAAATTACATAAATAAATAAATAATCTTTGCTCACTTATTTTTTTAAAGACCAGTGAACTATGCTCAGCCCAGGCTAGACTCAAACTATTGGGCTCAAGTGATCCTCCTGCCTCAGCCTCCCAAGTAGCCAGGACTACAGGCACACACCATCATGCCCGGCTTTCACCATTTTTTCACTCTTTTGGTTCAGTTTAAGATTTCATTTAGAGAAAAAAGGTTTTATACCATTTAAAATAAAAACATTGAGCACCACTAGTCTATATAGTTTATTTATCTATTGCCACTCAAACTCTGATGTCATTTTTATGGTGTTCTGGTTGCACTGTTTAATTCTGTTAGTTAACTTTCCGTATGTTATGCCTTGAACTGCATACATGTACGTAGAAACTCCCACACGTAAGTACACTAGACTGGAAGTTCTTAGAGAACTTATATTCTTTGTATTAGGTTGGTGCAAAAGGAACTGTGGGTTTTGCCATTAAAAGTAATTAATATCTCCTATGTTGCATACAGTACAATGCATTCACAAATAAATTTTTTGAGAAATAAACTTGATTTAACTGTTCAAATAAATTTTTATCCTGGGGTAAATAGTTTTAGTTTAAACTATGCTACTGGTAATAATAAACAATCCTTAAGAACATCATATGAGACAGCAGTTCTGCCCAACCCACTCCCAATTTCTTACCCATGCGGTGTCACTAATCAATTTATAGGTTGGAACAAGAAAAAAGTTTTACATTACAGAACTAATAAAGCATACTTTCCCTGCAGAGGGACCACTACTGTGACTTAAAGGTTCTAATTAAGTTTTTTTCTTTGAAGCTTAGTATTCAAATCTGCATTCTTACTTGATTAGTATTCACCACCATTATTTTTATGCAGATCACATGAAAAATGAACCCTATGTGCCAGAATAACTTGCAAGAAATTACTATTCATCAGCATGAATCAACAAGCCCACAATTAGAACAGTGTCCACTGGGAAAAGTAAAAAAAAAAAAAAAAAACTTTTACTAAGGTCATATAAAATGAAAGTAAAGGGGGAAAATAAAGAATTCATTTTTGCATTGAAAATCATACAAACGTTTTCAGCAGAAAATTACTATGACTATTATTGGGGCTCAGAAAATGATATCCTGAAGTATGGTGCTTTCATATGCTGGGCACTTCCGAATTTTAAAAAAACAGAAGACCTTAGAAGCTGCCTCAGAACCAAGGACTCTGTAACCTTCTCCTGTATCTCTCCAACTCCCAAAGCACAGAGAGGGGCTCTCTCTGGAATTTCCTTATCAGACTAAGGAAACTTTTTCCTTAAGAAATACAATTCTCTTAAACCTCCTCCCCAGAAATCTCATTAAATTACCAGGAAAGATTAACCTGAGAAGAAAAGAATCTATAATAAGTCATTGCCAAGACCAGACAGACTGTTCGTCTGTTCTTCAGAGGGCAGCTTTGAGACATTACCCGAGAGACTTCAACTGCATAATACAACAACCTCTGTTCACCCTACAGTTCCTCCCTCAACTTCCCATAACTTGTGGGTCCCATTCAGTTTCCAAAGAGAACCATTTACAAACTACTGTCTGCTCCTTGGATCCATTAAACTCTCCTAAAATCACTATCCCCCAAAATTGCCTATATTCCCCCATCTCCCTGACTGCTAGAAAGAGAGTGCCATTTAAGCTGTGGCTATCTGGCCTTTCTGTTACAGCCCAACAGGTTCTTCTTACCTGCTGCCCAGAAAAGCCAATACACGGAGAACAGTAGGGGTGTTGCAGCAGAGAAAGAGTTTAATTACTGCAAGGCAGCTGAGCAGAAGGAGGGGAGGTATCTCTCAAATCCACCTCCTCGAAAGCTTGGAGCCCAGGGTTTTTAAGGATAATTTGGCAAGCTGAGGGCCAGGGAATGTATGCTACTGATTGGTTGGAGATGAAATCACTGGAGTGTTGGAACTGTCTTCACGTGCTGAGTCAGTTTCTAGGTGGGGGTCACAGGACGAGTTGAGTCTGTTCCTTGGTATGAGTCATGGTCCAGATGGCATCAGTCAGTTTACCAGAATGCAAAGGTCTGAAAAATATCTCAAAAACCCATCTTAGGGTTTACAGTGGTGATGTTATCTCAAATCTTGTGACCTCCAGCAGTAACCAAGCTAGGGAACAATGGCTGGTTATCTCTTCTTCACTGTGCTTATTACTTAGCAGAATTCAGGCCCTTATCATAATTCTAATCTTATTGACTTTCATTAGTTTTACAAATGCAGTTTCAGTTCCCAAGCAAGAAGGGGACCAGTTTCAGGAAGGGACTATTATCATCCTTGCTTTAAAGTTAAACTGTAAACTAAACTCCTTTTTAGTTAGCTTGACCTACACCCAGGAATGAGCAGATAGTCAGCTTCTGGGGTCAGAAGCAAGATAAAGTCAGCTGTGTTGGATTTCTCTAACCATCATAACCTTAGCAAGGTGGTTTCAGTTCTCTGAGTCTCATATACTGTGTGGCCCCTGTGCTTCTGCACATTAATACATTTATATGCCTCTTCCCCTGTTAATCAGTCTAATGTCAGGTCATTTCAGCACTTTCAAATTTCAGAGCCAGAGGGGGAGGAAAAATTATCTTCACACCTATACTCTCTAAGACCAAAAAGCAACAGACATTCTGCCACATGCTACAAGACGGATAAACCGACAAATATTATATGGTTCCACTTATAAGAAACATGAAGAGAAAGTAGAGTAAAGGTTCCCTTGTCCCCCTCTGCCACAGAGGGAGTGGCTTGCTTCTTCAGCGCCCTGCTGCTCAAACCTCTAGGGGGAGCATACAGATGGGCACGTTGTGGGGCTCGGACCCCATGGCAGTGTCTAGAGGTGTATGTTTACAGCTCCTGAAGCCCCAGTGGGCATGTGTTACAAGGTGCTCTTTTAATCTAGCCGTCTGTAGGCAGCTTGTGTTAGTCAGCTCAATTAGACCCCCTTCCTTATCACAAGGACAAAGGGATTTCTATATCCTGGGGTTTCTTGCTTTGGTGAACTGGAAGAATCAGATCACATGTAGGCTTGGAGAATAAGTGCAAGGTTTTATTGAGTAAAGTAGCTCTCAGCAGATGGGGGAGCCAGAAGGGAAATGGTTTTCTCCCGGAGTCGGGCGCTCGGTGACCTGGGCTCTCCTCCAACCGTCCCAGCCAAACTCCACGTCGTTCTGCTGGCCGACGGCCTCCCAGCGTGCTGGCATCTGTTGCTGTGCTCTTCTGCCTGCGTGCTCCCCTTTGTCAGGCCTCTGAGCCCAAGGTAAGCCATCATATCCCCCGTGACCTGCACGTATACATCCAGATGGCCTGAAGCAACTGAAGAACTACAAAACAACTGAAAATAGCCAGTTCCTGCCTTAACCGATGACATTGCACCATTGTGATTTGTTCCCTCCCCACCCTAAGTGATCAATTGACTTTGTGACAATACCCCCTCCCCGCCCTTGCGATAATGGACTTTGTGATATTCCTCCGCCCTTGAGAATGTAATATCCTTTGTAATATCCTCCCCACACTTGAGAATGTACTTTGTAAGATCCACCCCCCACTAGCAAAAATTGCTCCTAACTCCACCGCCTATCTCTATAAGAACTATAGATAAGTTCTTATAGGGATAAACCTATAAGATAAACCTATAAGAACTAATGATAATCCCACCACCCTTTGCTGACTCTCTTTTCAGACTTAGCCCGCCTGCACCCAGGTGATTAAAAAGCTTTATTGCTCACACAAAGCCTGTTTGGTGGTCTCTTCACATGGACACGTGTGACACCCTCCACGTCCTCCCGATGTCCGGCCACTTGTCTTCTTCCACCAATGTGTTCCTCTCACCCTCCAGCTGCTTCTGTCTGTGCCTTGCTAGGGTCTTGGGTTTTTATAGGCCCAGGATGGGGGCGTGGTAGACCAGGGTAGTCTTGGAAAATGCAACATTTGGGCGCAAAGGCAGAAGTGCTTGTCCTCACCTAGGTCGATGGGGGTAGCGCCCTAGCCAGGGACCATGCCCTCCTCTACCCAGCACTTCCCTTACCCCCTTCCTCATCATTTAAAGGGACCACACTCTTCCCTTCCCAGCACTCCCGTATCACAGTCAGTGGTGGCACTGGATTCTCATAGGACCACTAACCCTATTGTGAACTGCACATGGCAGGGATCTAAGTTGCATGCTCCTTATGAGAATCTAATACCTGATGATCCAAGGTGGAATAGTTTCATCTAGAAACCATCCGCCCCCCTCACTCTATATCCCTGGAAAAACTATCTTCCGCAAAACCAGTCCCTGGTGCCAAAAAGGTTGGGGACCACTGTTTTCAGCTAAAAAGTCTGTCACGACTTGAGCTGTGGCTCATGCCTGTAATCCCAGAATTTCGGGAGGCCGAGGCAGGGGGATCACGAGGTCAGGAGATCGAGACTTCTCCATCCTGGCTAACACGGTGAAACCCCGTCTCTATTAAAAATATAAAAATTAGCCAGGTGTGGTCGCACATGCCTGTAGTCCCAGCTACTCGGGAGGGTGAGGCAGAAGAATCACTTGAACCCAGGAGGTGGAGGTTGCAGTGAGCTGAGATTGTGCCACTGCACCCCAGCCTGGGCGACAGAGCAAGACTGTCTCAAAAAAAAAAAAAAAGTCTGTCATGACTTGATATAGCATCAATAAGAAGCTAATACATAAACCACTCGATGAGGAGTTTAGAAGATGAAGTTGAACTGAAAGTACAGCAAAAAGAAAACTGACTCCATCATGCAAGAGACTGCTCCTACAGCTTGGGGTTGGAAGTAAATAAAATAATTAAAGGCACAGTGACTTCACAGCACGCAATAAACATGTATTAAGCACCTACTTCCTAAAGCCCACTGCAGTCAATGATAATTCAGTCAAGCTGAAATCATCATCATCCAAGGTTCGTTTGTAAATAATTTAACAGTTTGGAGAGAATATGTGAAGAACAACAGTTTTATTTCCAAGAATTCATGACCTTATCTAGAGAAAGTTTATGAATGGACAGAGAAGATAGTCTTATATTTGGCATGATTTCCTACGCAGGTGAAAGATTCAACTGCCCAAAAATATCTGATCTTTGGCTTGTTCTAATATAGCAAATGCCCACTAATAAAAACCTTTCAAGATAAATCTTCAAAAAAGTATTAAAATGGAAATGTTAACAAGAAAGGTAGTGCCCACTAAAATTATAGCATAGGTTAGGGAAGAGAAATTGCCGTGGAGCAGGGCAAAAAATCATTAGCTGGAAAGATAACCAACCCAGTTTGGAGGGATTAATGCAGTAATTGATGAACTTTACCTTTTTCTTTGTCTGGGTGCTGAAGTATGACTATTTTTATAAGACAGATCTTTCTAGGCAGTCCAGTTACTATATGTCAACACATAGCCTTGTAAAAGTATAATATCCTATAAAGAAATAAACTCTAAACTCCTCAAATAGCTATTCTTCTCTAATGTTTACACTGTATATTTTTATCTGATAGGTAAGGGTCAACACTGTTTGCATCATTAACTGGCAAGGAATAATCGAAATTACTAATTACATTTAGCATGTCTCATATTGATGAAACAACAGATGTTTAAGGAAGAAGCTTCTTTAATATCTACTAACATTATATTATGTTTCATTGTATTACACAAAACTACCAATAAGGCTAAAGCAGTTGTACCACTTTTATTTACCTTACAACAAAGAATAAATAGCTTGACAAGATCCTTTTAAAAAAAAAATAAAGTGCCATTACTAATTCTGTAAACCAGTAAAAGTTACCAAAAGAATTTTAATAAAAAGATCTCAAGACCCCCACTGTATTTTGTAAAATATTAAAGGCAGTAAAATGTAACAAAATAAAATAGAAAAGGTGACCTTCAAATCCATGAAAGAAATAAGCAAAAAAACAAGATGACCTTAAAATGAAAGTTCTAATGTCATTTCATTATTTTATTGTAAGTCACAGAGCCCCCAGGTCTATATTAAAGGCAATATTTATAAGACTTAAAATACTAAAAAAAGAAAAAACAGAAAAAGACTAAAAACCATCTACAATAATTCAGAGGTATTTGAAAATAATACAAAGCAATTAAAAACAGTAAAATAGAAGAGATGATTAAGTCTAAAAGCAGCTCAGAAAGGCCTACAGCTGAGCTACTGCTCAGGGAGAGGGAAGCTGAGCTCAAAGCCCCAAACATCAAGTGCAATGTGAGGAACAGAACACACTCGAAAGCTGGGGGACTGAATCTGAGTCAGAAGCCCCTGAACCAAGAGCGCCAAGAGCAGAAGATGGATGTGCCAGCTCAAAAGGGAGAGAGCAAATTCACCTTTCCTCTGCCTTTTTGGTCTACTCATGCCCTCAATAGACTGATGAGGGTGATCTTTACCAGTTTGCACATTCAAGTGCTCATCTCTTCCCGGACCACTCTCACAGATACAACCAAAAGTAATATTATACCAGCTATCTAGACATCCCTTAGCCCAGTTAACCATCACAAGTAAGGAATGGTGACATGGAATACCGGAGACAGAATAGCATGACACTGTGAAGGCCCTTTGATGATAAGCCACAGATCAAAGAATACTAGGGCAAAGATTTTTGCATAGGAAAATGACATAATCTCTCTACTACATATTTAACCTGATTAAAATGGATTTTTGCACAGACAACTAAGGAAGAGGCCTTGTTAGGATCTTGTTTAGAATAAATAGATAAATATATATATTATAGTTGGATAGGACTTTAAATATTGCCTGATCCCATTCCTTCATTTATCAGACTCAGAAAGTATAATCTCCTCGGGGTCAGCTGGAAAATTAGTGACAAAGGCTACAATGTTTGCCTTTTTTTTTAATTTATTTTTTTGAGACAGAGTCTCATTCTGTCACCCAGGCTGGAGTGCAGTGGCATGATCTCAGCTCACTGCAACTTCCACCTCCTGCGTTCAAGGGATTCTCCTGCCTCAGCCTCCTGAGCAGCTGGGACTACCAGAGCCCACCACGCCCAGCTAATTTTTGTATTTTTAGTAGAGACGGGGTTTCGCCACGTTAGCCAGGCTGGTCTCGAACTCCTGACCTCAAGTGATCCACCCGCCTGAGCCTCCCAAAGTGCTGGGATTACAGGCGTGAGCCACTGCACCTGGTTTACAATGTTTTCAAACAATGAACTCATAAGTACTCTTATATTTATTATGATTTTTTTTTAAGATAGCTCTATCTCCCAGAATTTCTACAACCACCTCTTTAATGAACTGAAGTCTTTCTTTCTTTCTGGCCACAAATATTTACTGAACCCCTACTATGTGCCAGGCACTGTTCTAGAGGATAATAACAAAATTAATTCTCTGGTTAGATCTAAAATTCAAAAGAAGAAAAAAAACAATAAACAAACACATACATCACACAGTGGTAAGTGTTAGGAAGGAAAATGGAGTGAGATGACCCGGCGCAGTGGCTCAGGCATATAATTCCAATCACTTTGGGAGGCCAAGGCAGGCGGATCATGAGGTCAGGAGTTCGAGACCAGTCTGACCAACATGGTGAAACCCTGTCTCTTCTAAAAATACAAAAATTAGCCGGGCATGGTGGCGCATGCCTATAATCCCAGCTACTCAGGAGGCTGAGGCAGGAGAATCACTTGAACCCGGGAAACGAAGGTTGCAGTGAGCCGAGATCGCGCCACTGCACTCCAGCCTGGGCAATAGAGTGAGACTCCAACTCAAAAAAAAAAAAAGAAAAAGAAAAGAAAAATAGAGTCAGAAGGAAAACAAGTGCAGAACAGAAGGTATTATAAGTACACAGAGAGCAGCCACAGACTACCATCTCATAAGATGGTCTGCATGAACCAGGAGCAGTGGCTTGTGCCTGTAATCCCACCTCCTAGAGGGGATGAGATGGTGGGATCACTTGAGTCCAGGAGTTCAAGACAAGCCTGGGAAGCATAACAAGACCCTACCTCTAAAAAAATGTTTTAAAGTAGTCAGATGTGGAGACGCACACCTGCAGCCCCAGCTACCCAGGAGCCTGAGGCAGGAGGATTGCTTGAGGCCAGGAGTTTAAAACTAAGCTGGGCAATATATTTTATCTCAAAAAAATAAAAAAAAAGATAGCCTGCACTATAAGAAATCCAGTAGAAGAGTGGTCCCCAAAGACTAGACAATAAATGAGAAAATAGGGAGCAGGTAAGCAGCCTGTTTAAAAGAGGGAGGGAGAAGAAAATGAGGTTGAAGTCTAAGTTTCAGAACAAGTAGAATCTTATAGACCACTGTAGAAACTTTGCCACAGAAGTTTCCCCCAGAAACAGTGCAAACCAGGAGACAATGGAACATCTTTAAAGTGATGAAAGACAGAACAAAAAGTCAAGCCAGAATTCTATATCTAGCAGAAAAATCATTAAAAATAAAGGCAAAACAAAAATTCCAGACAAATGCAAGAAGAATTGGGTACCAGCAGACCTAAAGCTAGAAATTTTTAAGGAAGTTCTTCAGGTTAAAGAGAAAGGATACCAGCTGGAAACAGATGAATACAAAGAAATGAAGAGTGCTAGAAATGTTGTAACAATGTACCGTGGGGTTTATAACACGTACAAGTAAAATGCATGATAAAATAGCACAGAAAATAGGAGGGGAGAATAGAAGTAAACTATTGTAAGGTTCTTACATTATATATTAAATTTATATTATTTTACAGTAGATTATGATGAGTTAGAGATAGATGTTTTAAACCAAAAGCAACAACAAACAAACAAGTATAGCTAACAAGTCAACAGAAGAGATAAAATGGAATATTAATAAATACTCAAAGGAAGACAGAAAAAGAGAGGACAAAAACAACAAAAATAAATTAAAAAAATAAATAAATAAGTAAACTTACTAAAACATGGCAAGAAAAATGCCTACCAAGCAACATATTTAAGCTGGTCTGTGTTAGTGCATCTGTTGGGAATAAAGCTGAAAACCAACATCTTTACTAATTGATATAAATGTCTGCCTGAAGTTTTCACAGATGATTTACTGTAATATGGTCATTCTACATTGCTTTCCTTTCCATCTGTCATAAAATAGCTGTGTATGATTTTCAAAATTAAAAAATTAACTTTAATTAGCCAACTAGTTTACTGATAATATCTTCTCACTCAAATAAGTTTTTGAACTACTAGACATCGCCAAATAAAAATAGCAGTTGAGGATTTGTAAAAAGAAAATTAAGTCAAATAGTTATTTGCAAAATCGTTTTATCATCTTTGGTTCATGGAACCATTATGTTTATCTTATATATGCTACAGCTTTTTTATCAACATGCAAAAAGTTGTCACATCAACATACCCACTTGCAAAAATGTAATTATACTTTATATAATTTCTTATATACTTTACATAGCGATAATAGTAATCAAGTACTAACTATGATAGAATTCATATTGGCGGAGATAAATGGAGCAAAATAATATTGCTTACTTTGTAAAAATAAATAATTATCTTATTGATGTTGCCATTTATCCTACTTGATTCTATTTAATCGGCAAAAACCCCAGGCTCAATGTAAAACTGGTCACAGCAAGACTAGGTCAGATCTCTTTCCAAAGTGCCAGTCCAGACTTCTGAGTGACCATGGGCAAAGCACATGCGGTGAGTGGTAGAGGAACCCCAAAACTTTTTCAACACACACCAGAAACCGCAAAGTTACCCCCACCCACATATGGTTCCATTCAGAAACGACCACAGCTCTCCTGGTACCGGAGATACAACACCAACCTAGATAACAAAGACCACAGAGTACATCCATCTCCTCAGTTTGGTCTGTAACTGGAGTATCTTCTACATCTCCACAGCACAGATCCTTGGAACGCCACTGTAACATAAGCTCAGCACTCACCATTCTCTTACATGCCTAAGGCTTTCTACAGTAAGCCACAGCCACTCTCTGCCTGAGAGTGTTCACTGGCTGGGAGCTTGCTGAGACAGGCCAGAAACCAGAGCTGGACAAGAGTGAATGAATAAATACTCCCGCTTCTTTGCCCTCAGGTAAGATAACTATGAGGTAGATTCCATGTAGCTTCACAAAAGTACCCAATGGGATTGAGCTTCAGTTGCCAATAGTTGCGGCCTGTTCATTAGCATACCCTGTAGTGGCTTCATTCTGTCTTACTTACTCAGCTCTTTACAGGTGCTTCCTGGGATCATCTCCCTAATAAACTACTTGCACTCAAATCCTTGATTACTTTAATGCCATCCTTCAGAATGATGCCATTTCGTCCAAGAACAAGGGATGCCTTTAGTTTTGTTCAGTTCTACTTTCGGGCCTTTCAGGAGTGCTTTAAAGTTTTCTTCCTGTAAGTTTTGTACATTTTTAAAGTTTAATTGCTGAGTATTTTATCTTTTTTTCTTGCTATTGTAAATGGGGTTTTCTCTTCGATTATATCTCTTTTTTTTTAAGACTAGTCAAGCGCAGTAGTAACAAGTGGAGAAAGACTAGAACAAGGAGTTTAATCTATAACTGACTGAAAAGTCAATTGAGATAACTCAGTTGGACCTTTGGACCAGCCTTCCTTATACCTTCTAACTCATTATTGTTTACATTTATGAAGGCTTTTGATTTTTCCATGTTAATTTTATCATACCTATTACCCTATTGAGTTATTTTACTGAGTTGGGATTTTTTAACGACTTTATTGAGAAATCATTTACATGCCATAAAATTCACTGATTTTAAATGTACTATTCAATGGGTTGAAGTATATTTAGAGAGCTGTACAGCCATCACCACAATGTAATTTTAGAACAGTTTCATCACCCCAAAAAGAAACCTTTAGGCCCATTAGGAGTTACTCCCTATCCCTACCCCATCTCGACCTCCCAGCCCTACACAGCCACTAATCTACTTTCTGTCTATATAGATTTGCCTGTTGTGGATATTTTACATAACGAATCATATGACATGCGGTCTTTTATGTCCGGCTTCTTTCACTTAGCATAATGTTTTCTGAGGTTCATTGAGTAAGGTTTTATCATTGATTTACTAGGGTTTTTTTAAGTAAAATGTCATATGAGCTGCAGATAGAAATCATTTTCCAATTACAATGCCTCCAACTGTTTCCTCCTGTCAAGTGCTTTTGTTAATACTGCCAGTACAATGGTCCCAACCTTTGTGGGAATATTCTTAGTGTCTTCCTAATAAAGTAAAGTGCTGATTATTTGATACTTTAACTCTGAGAGGAAAATCATATGTTTCTATATATGTCACCACCATATTACATTAACTAGAAGCCATTATTTGTTCATCTACAACAGGATAAAATAATGTCTGCCCTCTCTACTTTACAGAAATCCTAAAAAGAAAATATATATAAAATATTTTATAAACAATAAAACTCTATGTAAATTTGAGAGCCTATTTACTATACCATAAAAATAATTTTAGAAACCACTGAACTCCTTTGAAAGTGTGTGTTTTTAACTACTACCAAGGAGAGAGAAGTTAGTAGACAAGAAGCAAGGCGACTAGATCATTCAGCCATCCAGGTATGTAAACAAAGAAGGAAAGAAGCTAGCTACAGAAAGCAAATGTCATATTGGAACACACTGAGTTTTCTAAGTTCCTCTGACATATTTCTGGTCACAGAACTATCACCAAACTTAAAGACCTAAAGGACTTCTAATATTAAACATTAAAATAGTGGCTCACGCCTGTAATCCCAGCACTTTGGGAGGCCGAGGCGGGCGGATCACGAGGTCAGGAGATCGAGACCATCCCGGCTAAAACGGTGAAACCCCGTCTCTACTAAAAATACAAAAAATTAGCCGGGCGTAGTGGCGGGCGCCTGTAGTCCCAGCTACTCGGGAGGCTGAGGCAGGAGAATGGCGTGAACCCGGGAGGCGGAGCTTGCAGTGAGCCGAGATCCCGCCACTGCACTCCAGCCTGGGCGACAGAGCGAGACTCCGTCTCAAAAAAAAAAAAAATAAAAAAAAATAAATGTGAGCATACATACATTTAAGAAAGATTAAGCAGGCCAGGTGTCGTGGCTCATGCCTGTATTCGCAACACTTTGGGAGGCCAAGGTGGGAGGATCACTTGAGCCCAGGAGTTCAAGACTAGCCTGGGCAACACAGGGAGACTCCATCTCTACAAAAATTTTAAAAATCAGCCAGGCATGCCTATAGTCCCAGCTGCTCAGGAAGCTGAGGTGGGAGGATGGCTTGAGCCCAGGAGGTTGAGGCTGCGATGAGCCATGACTGTGTCACTGCACTCCAGCGTAGGTGATACAGTGAGATCTTGTCTCAAGAGAAAAAAAAAGTAAAGCAGAAGAAGAATTTAGAATTTAGAGGTATGCTTAAAAGGTTAAAAGATTCTTAAATCCTTAACTTATTACAGAGGAATTCCAAATACAGACATGAAAATGGGGGATATCTACATGACTGAAAGTAACTGAAAATATCTGCTTATCTACTCAATGAAATGTTCAAATATAAAAAAATTTTAGACCTCTTGACAATGTAGGAATTGACAGCCAGTACCATTATTAGTGCTTATTTGTTAAAGTAAGGGGGAAGGAAGGTAGTTCAGTTAGCTCTTGTAAACACCCTCGGATTGATTTGTTCAATCCTGGAAAAAATTGGTCTATGCAATAGTAATTTTCACATTTTTAGAGTTCCTTTAACCTACTGTGTAAAGTATGCAGTGGGAAGGAAGTCAAACTAGTTACTTAATACTTATCTTTAAGTTGAATTCAAATTAGTCTCAGAGTTAACTAACCAGTGTAAGAGTTAGGGTGTTTTTCAGTTGCAAATAACAAAAAAACAGATTTGCATTAAAAAGAAAAGAAAACCCAGATAGTGGGCAGGTTTCAGAGTTGGTTAGAAATAATAATGACAACAGTAACAACAGCAAATACTATCTGTCAGGTACTGCTCTCTCCATTTTGTGTGTATTAATCTATTTAATCCTTGCCACAACTTTCTGAGAGTTGTTATCCTCATTTTACAGATAAGGAAATTATCTAAAGGTACAGAGAGCATCTATTACATTTGCCCAGCATGCCACAGTTAGTGAGTAGCAGAGCTGGCATTCAAACCCGTGCAATCTAGACCAGAGCCCATGCTCTTAACTGCTGATTCAAACCCGTGCAATCTAGACCACAGCCCATGCTCTTAACTGCTGATTCAAACCCGCGCAATCTAGACCACAGCCCATGCTCTTAACTGCTGATTCAAACCCATGCAATCTACACCACAGCCCATGCTCTTAACCGCCGATGCTCTGCTGCCTCGTGATGGCTTCTCAGGCTGTGACTCCTTTCTCTCCAGTTCCCTCTGCTCTGCCCTCTTCCAGAGCTAGCTTGCAGCTCAGTCTGGCTCCCCGTCAGGAATATTATAGATGCCAATGGGTCCTGGAACTACCCTGTACTCATATAAAAGGGGAGAGCACAAGCATTCCTTCCTACCAAACAAAAGCTCTGAGTCTCACTTTAATAGGACAGATCAGGTATTGTTCCCACCACAGAACCAACCACCGTAGACAGGGAATAAGGTTGCCCAGAGTTATCTATGCCAATGGGAACCCACCACAGGTACAGTAATAAGGGAAGTCTACCCCACCAAACCTGCAAAACTGCCATGTAATGAGCTGGATTGGAAAGAATGTTGAGTAGAAGCCACACTGTCCACTGCAACCAGTGATACTCTTGGGTGATACAACTCTAAGAAAGGGAATCAAGATATAACCTTATGGTATAACTTACTAAAATTCATCAAATGTAAGATGCTATGGATTGTAAGACATGCCATTATTAAAGATACCATTAAAAACAGTATAGCACTGCCAAGTATCATCTTAAGAGGCCTTCAAATGTAGGACGCATCCTAATTTCAGTTATGTCAAAAATGTAGGAGGAAACGTCCATCTTACAATAAAACAAAAATATGAAGTGCCATCAGCTGGAGTTGTAAAAATCCATAACTGCTTTCCCACATATATCTACATAAGTCTAGGCTATGACTCTATACACAGGCTGAGAAATGAAACAGCAATCAACCCTGCTGTGTTCCCAGAACTTAAGATGAAAGATATTAACTAAAAGAGTCGTCAGAGGCCTCACTCCTCAACCCCTCAATCAAACACCATGTCAGACAAGCAATATCCACCATATGCCAGGCACAGTGTCTGGGTCCTACAAGGGAAAATGTCTTAACTCCTGCCTCAAGGATATGACTGGCAAGTACTAAATAATCATACGAGAAACGGTAACTCCTGCCTCAAGGATATGACTGGCAAGTACTAAATAATCATACGAGAAACGGTAACTCCTGCCTCAAGGATATGACTGGCAAGTACTAAATAATCATACGAGAAACGGTAACTCCTGCCTCAAGGATATGACTGGCAAGTACTAAATAATCATACGAGAAACGGTAACTCCTGCCTCAAGGATATGACTGGCAAGTACTAAATAATCATACGAGAAACGGTAACTCCTGCCTCAAGGATATGACTGGCAAGTACTAAATAATCATACGAGAAACGGTAACTCCTGCCTCAAGGATATGACTGGCAAGTACTAAATAATCATACGAGAAATGGTAACTCCTGCCTCAAGGATATGACTGGCAAGTACTAAATAATCATACAAGAAACGGAATGAAGTAATGCTGTTAAATGGATATCAATAAAATACAGGGGCTCAGAAAAAGGAAAGATTAATATAGACTAACTGGAACAGAGACAGTTCCAGCATCAAGATAACATCAGAGCTGCCTGGGCATCTGTAAGAAATGAGGATCTATTTAAGAGAGGAAGGCAAGAAGCAAGAGTAAATAACATGGAGGTATTTCAGATCACAGTAGTAGAAATCAAGTACTTGAGTTGAACTAGAGCGAAGGCCGTATGTGGCAGAGTGGACTAAAAAGCTAGAAATATAGTTTGGAGCCAGCACATTTGGTAGGCAAGAAGAGACACTGAACATTCTTGGGCAGAGAAATGACATTATCAGAGAGGTTGGAGAAGAATCCCTAACGAGTTGTTTGCAGACACTGGGCTTACGGGGCTTGTGGGACATCTAGGGAGTTTTCACTGAAACTGCCCAGAAGCCACCCAGATATAAGTATGGAATCCACAGAAAGATCTAAGCTAAGAGTTTTTATCTGGGGGTCATCAGGACTAGATGATAACTGAAGTTATGAAATAAATGACATTTTCTTAGGAGGATCTGACATGCCAGAAAAACAAAGGAGCCCAGAGAAATTACCTGAGGAACGTCAACATTAGTGGAATGAGCAGAAGAGAAGGAGCTTATGTAGAAAAAGCAGCAGAAACTACACAACAAGAGGAAGGAAAACCAGGAACGTGGGAAAAGAGTATGTAAGAAAAGAGAGAAGTTAATACTGACCAGTTTCACAGCAAGATAGAATAAGAACTGAAACATAACCCCTGAGATTTAGATTATTGATGAGCTGGCTGAAAGCAGTACACATGGACTAGCAAGGATGGGGTAGTCCACACAGGGAGGTCAGAAAAGGATGCTTAGAAAAGATTGCTTTTGAGCTAAGAAGTTAACCAGATAAACAGGAAAAATCACCAAATGTAAGGGAAGAAAAATAGTATCTACAAAGAATAGGCTGGATCCAATACAAAAATATGTATCTTAATCAAAAAAAAGAAAAAAACAATAAACGCACACATAGGATTTTTACATTCAACAAGCATAACTAATTTGTTACCTCACACAAATTGATCTTTTGCTTTAATTACAATGCTAACTTTTTAAGAAAAAGAACCCAATTAAAAATCCAGCAAATACACAGCTCAGCAAAATTTGATGAAAAGGTATGCAAATAAGCCACACCTTTTGTATGACCTCTTGCTAAAAGGAGCAACTTTAGGCCAGGTGAGGTGGCTCACACCTGTAGTCCCAGCACTTTGGGAGGCCAAGGTGGGTGGATGGCTTGAAGCCAGGAGTTCGAGACCAGCCTGGCCAACATGGTGAAACCCTATCTCTACTAAAAATACAAAAATCAGCCAGGCATGCTGGTGTGCGCCTGCAGTCCCAGCTACTCGGGGGAGGCTGAGGCAGCAGAATCGCTTGAACCCAGGAGGCAGAAGTTGCAGTGAGCTGAGATGCCACCAATGCACTCCAGCCTGGGCAACACAGTGAGATCCCATCTCAAAAAACAAATAAATAAATAAAAGGAGCAACTTTACATATATCTGCTATACAAATTACTCTCCATTTCTGCAACAATCTGTTTAACTCTAGGCAACAAGTTCAATCTCAAATTTCATTTTGACTCAATTCTTTTCTTAAAAAGGATTCCATATTTTATAATAGAAAGAGCCATGAAAAAACTCTAACTTTTATTTATTTTAGGAATTGGGAAAATCATTCCATTCCTAAAATCCGACATATCTGACTATACTCTGGAAAAAAGTATATAGTCTGGCAACTCAATAGACATGTATTTTTTAAAAATCTCACTGAATAATTGCAGATAAGACAAACAAGAGTAATCTAACAATTATGCCAAACTTAGATTGGACTACATGTGTGAAAGTACTACCTCTCTAGCACTTTCTCCAAGGAAACTATCAGAACCATTTATTTTCCACTGCATAATAGCAGAACTATCAGTTATGTGACATCCTATAAAAAGACAAACACAATTTCTAATTATATCCATTCTTTCATTTTAATTACTCTAGAGAGTGATTACATATTTAACTTGGCTATCTTTAAAAAATTAAGTTGCTTTAATGAAAGTATTTTAGATAGCTACACCACCATACATCAATTAGAAAGTTAATCATTCCACTTGTTCTCACAAAAAGATTTTAAAGGAGGTGGAGAGGTGGTGTTTGGTGCTTTATAAAAGTTAATTAGAGGGCACCCAGAAAGAGAGATCATCCAGGAAATAAAGTTTATCAAAAATCCAAAATATGTAATCTGCACAGTGTCAAGAAACAGCAGGAGATTCTCTTTAATGAGTTTACTCATGTTCACTTTAAAAGAAAATCTTCAGTTCACGATGTGAGGTTGAGTTTTAAATATACTGGAAGACTTCTCTGTGTAACAGACTGTAAGACTCCACTCGCTCGCTTGGTCTTGACTGCCTAACTGATGGCAGACTATTATCTAAAGCATATTCCTACTCTAAAGGCAGCCTTCTATTTTACAGTGATCTTGCTGTATACTTCACAGTCACACTCATCATTACAAAACATTCCGAAAGCTTTTTTTAATAAGTTTTCAGTGTTTGAATTATCATGATCACTCCCTCAAATTAATTACTAATATGATAAGAAATAATCAAGGTTAAGTTGATACTTAATTTTTGGCCAAAGCAGGTTCAATGGATCTATCCTAGATCAATAGATAAGCTTAAGAATGCATTTCTGGAAGTCCTAGCCAGAGCAATCAGGCAAGAGGAAGAAATAAAAGGCATCCAAACAGGAAAAGAAGTCAAACTCTCTCTCTTTGCAGACAATATGATTCTATACCTATAAAACCCTAAAGACTCTGCCAAAAGACTCCTGGAACTGATAAATGACTTCAGTAAAGTTTCAGGATACAAAATTGGTATACAAAAATCAGCATTTCTATACCCCTATAACATTCAAGCTGAGGGTCAAATTAAGATCACAATCTCACTTACAATAGACACACACACCAATATCTAGGAATACATCTAATCAAAGAGGTAAAAGATCTCTACAAGGAAAACTACAAAACACTGCTGAAAGAAATCAGAGATGTCACAAACAAGTGGAAAAACATTCCATGCTCATGAATTAGAAGAATCAATATCACTAAAATGGCCACACTCGCGGTGGCTCACGCCTGTAATCCCAGCACTTTGGGAGGCCAAGGTGGGAGGATCACTTGAGGTCAGGAGTTTGAGACCAGCCTGGACAACATGGTAAAACCCCATCTCTACTAAAAATACAAAAATTAGCCAGGCATGCTGGCACGCGCCTGTAATCCCAGCTACTCAAGAGGTTGAGGCGGGAGAATTGCTTGAATTCAGGAGGCAGAGATGGCAGTAAGCCAAGATCGTGCCACTGTACTCCAGCCTGGGTGACACAGCAAGGCTGGCTCCGTCTCGAAAAAATAAATAAAATAAAATAGCCATACTGCCCAAAGCAATCTACAGATTCAACGCTATGCCTATCAAACTACCAACATCATTTTTCACAGAATTAGAAAAAATTATTCTAAAATATAGAACTCAAAAAGAGCCCAAAGGATTGCCCAAGCGATTCTAAGCAAAAGGAACAAAGCCAGAGGCATCACATTACCCAACTTCAAAGTATACTATAAGGCCAAACAGTAACCAAAACAGCATAGAACTGGTACAAAACCAAACACATAGACCAATGGAGTACAGAGAACCCAGAAATAAAGCTGCACACCCACAGGCATCTGATCTTTAACAAAGTCACCAAAAATAAGCAATGGGGAAAGGACCCTCTAGTCAATAAATGGTGCTGGGATAGGCTACCTATATGCAGAAGAATACAACTGGACCTCTACCTTTCATCATGTACAGAAATTAAGTCAAGATGGATAAGATTTAAATATAAGACCACATTCTACAAGAATCCTAGAAGAAAACCATTCTTCTAAAGGATTGGTTTAGGAAACACCATTCTGGACATCAGCTTTAGAAAAGAATGTGTGACTAAGTCCTCAAAAGCAATTGCAACAAAAACAAAAATTGACAAGTGGAACCTAATTAAAATAAAGAGCATCTGCACAGCAAAAGAAATTATCAACAGAGTAAACAGACAACATATAGAATGGGAGAAAATATTCACAAACTGTGAATTTGTCTATTTGTCATCCGACAAAGGTCTAATATCCAAAATCTATAATGAACTTAATTCAACAAGCAAAAAACAAATGACCCCAATACAAAATGGGCAAATATATGAATAGACACTTCTCAAATGAAGACACACAAGCGGCAGACAAACATGAAAAAATGTTCCACATCACTAATCATCAGAGAAATGCAAATCAAAACCACAATGAGATACCATCTCACACCTGTCAGAATGGCTTTTATTAAAAAGTCAAAACAGAACAGATGCTGGCGAGGCTGCAGAGAAAAGGGAACGTTTATCCACTGTTAGTGGGAATGTAACCTAGTTCGGCCACTGTGGAAAGCAGTTTGGAGATTTCTCAAAGAACTTGAAACAGAGCTACCATTTGACCCAGCAATGCCATTAGTAGGTATCTATCCAAAAGAAAAGAAATTGTTCTACCAAAGAGACACATGTACGTATATGTTTGTTGCAGCACTACTCACAATAGCAAAAAACACGGAACTAACCTAGGTGTACATCAATAGTGGTTTAGATAAAGAAAACATGGGGTGTGTGTGGAATAGTATTCTGCTCCCCATGGAATACTTAGCCATAAAAAAAGAACAAAATCATGTCCTTTGCGGCAACATGGAAACAGCTGGAGGCTATTCTCCTAAGCAAATTAATGCAAAACAATAAAACCAAATAACATGTAGTTCACACTTATAAGTGGGAGCTAATCACTGGTACTGCTGGACATAAAGACGGCAACAATAGACACTGGTGACTATTAAAGGAGAAGAGGAAAGGAGGAGGCAAGGATTGAAAAATTATTGGGTACTATGCTCACTACCTGGGTGACAGGATCATCCCTATTTCAAATCTCAGCATTACACAATATACCCATGCCACAAACTTGCACATGTATTCCTTGAATCTAAAATAAAAGTTGAAATTATTTTTTTTTAAAGAATGTGTTTGTGATTATCTGAAATTATTGCAAAATGTATATACATTTTTTTCCAAAGAGGTTTCACGGATTTCATAAGTTAACTGTTTTATTCTATGAAGAGACCATGGAATAAACAAAACAAAGCAGCAAAATGTTAAGTGAAAACTTTATATTCAGACTCTGAAGCTTCTTTGGTAAGGGTAGTGTGTTACGCAAAGAGGTATTCTGAGTAACTGTAATACTAGATAAGGAACAGTCAGGACAAAGCCACTGCTTTTCTCTAAGTTAGGAAAACATCAGGAACTCCTGAGAATTCCAAAATAGCTTGAATGAGGAAGGGGGAATAAGGGAAGAGTAATAGCGTTGAGACTCTAAATGATAGAAGAATTCCAAGGAGAAGATACAAGAATTCCAAGAATTCCAAGGAGAAGATACAAGAATTCCAAGAATTCCAAGGAGAAGATACAAGAATTCCAAGAATTCCAAGGAGAAGATACAAGGAAACTGGACAAAACACGCTAAATGAAGCTACATTAATTAGAATGTCCCACGTGGCATTTGAATTTCCCTCTATTAGAGTTTTTGCTACATTTCCCTGAAGGTTTATCGAGGGCAGACACTGACCTTAATAGTCTTTGTATCACGGGTTCCAGCACAGTACTTCTCACATAGTTGTTACTCAACATTTCCTGGGTCAGTAATGAAAACATGGGTTGGAAATAGGTGGCAAGTTTTTTTAAAATTATTAAACCAGAAGCTTTCAGTGGGTAGTAGTTACATATTCAAATTTCCTTCACCCACTTGAGAGAGAAAATATAAAGGCTATGAAATGTGTCGGGAGAAAAACTATGAACCATTCTTTCTTATTTGAAAAAAAAAAAAACTATACAACAATAGAAGAAAGTTGAAAAAGAACCTAATCTTCCTTCATGGAAACATGGACTTAAACAAAAAAAGAACCTAATTTTCCTAAAGTGAACTAAAAGTTACAAATTTCAATCTCCAATAATTGAAGGCAAGAACTTTGTTCTTATAGACTATCTCAGGCAGCAGTTTAAAAGGGGGGCCTACAATGTTTTCCCCTTTGATTTTAAAATAATTTTACACTTACATAAAAGTCACAATAATAGCACAGAGGATTCCCATCTACCCCTTCACTCAGCTTCCCTTAACATTGACATCACCACAGTAATACATAGAAAGTATCTAGGTTCCTGCCTCCCTAGTCTCCTCCGATCTGTCATAATTCCTAAGTCTTTCCTTGTCTTTGACACTTGATACTTTTGAAGAGTAATGATCAGTTATTTAGGCAGGTGTCTTGCCTAAATCATGTTCTTTTTCTGTTCCACAAGGTAAAGATGTATTTAGATGTCCTGCTTCGTTAGTCTCCTCCAATCTGTGACCCAACATGCTCCCGCCCCCAAGGGCAGGTTTACTTCTATTACTTCTATTTTCCCCAGGTGTAAAGGGTTTTCACCAGAGCCCCAAAGGTAATGGTCATTGTTTTGTCCTTTCTCTGCTTTCATTCAGTAGAAGGGAAAAGGACGATAGGGAATAAGGGTCCTGCCAGAGTTTCTTTCTTTTTTTTTTTTTTTTTTGAGACAGAGTTTTCACTCTCGCCCAGACTGAAGTGCAGTGACACAATCTCGGCTCACTGCAACCTCCACCTCCCGGGTTCAAGCGATTCTCCTGCCTCAGCTTCCCAAGTAGCTGGGATTACAGGCACCCGCCACCACACCCAGCTAATTTTTTGTATTTATTAGAGACAAGGTTTCACCACGTTGGTCAGGCTGGTCTCGAACTCCTGACCTCGGGTGATCCACTCACCTCAGCCTCCCACAGTGCTGGGATTTCAGAGTTTCTTACTGTATCTGCAGCAGCTGCTCTTCTCCTAGAGACAAAGAATGCTTTCTCAGGAATCTCACCTGTCTTTTTGGGAGCACCTGGTAGAGTTTTTGGAGAAAAAGCCTACAGGTGGGTATGAACTCCCCTCATCCACAGTTCCCAGGGTCTTCACACTTTCTTGCCAGCCCACATGCAGCATCCATCAATTTGGTTAACTATTCTAGCTGAATGCTTACCAGTGTCCAGCTGTGGGTGCCCCAGGTAAGCAAGTGCTGATGTCTTTCCCTACATCTGTCTCTTCTTAGACGTCAAGCTAGCCGATTGCCCTATAACCTCAGCAATCTGATGGGTTAAAAAACAAAAGTCATGAACTTGTCATTGTCCAGATGTTTCTGTGTTTAGTCTTGCTTTTAAGATTAGAAGCCATGCTTTTTCTGTACACAATTTTGTTTTTATTAATGCGTGAATTTGTTTGCTAAAAGATAACGCTATGAAACAAATTTAAAGTTTATTGAAAAATCAACTTAAAAGCAGCATTCCAAAATATTCTAATATAATTTTTAATCTTAAAACTTAGAGTTTTGACTGTTGATCACTGTCATTTTTTCCAGCTGTTGTTATATCAAGAAAACTCTCATTATTTCCATAACAATAAAATTCAAAACTGAAATGCAATAATGCATGTGGACATAAATTATACTGAGAATTCAACCTAATAAAAAACACATAACAGCTGACAATGATTTCTTAAAAGCATTTGCTTAAAGTTTGTCAGAATGCTGGGAGAATACCAATTACGTATTCATAGTCCTCATAATTTTGTTTTACAAAATATTTTCTCAAATCTCTTGGGAGATTACTATAGGGTTAAAAGCTGTTTTAAGATCAAAGATCAAATAGAGGGGGGAAAAACCCTGTAATTCTCTACTGCAGCTCATTGATCTTTCCCATCTGCTATGCAAAAAAGGAGATGCATGTTAAGTTTGAAAAAAGAAAATCTTTTTAACTAGGAATGACAGCATACTGATTCTGGCAAACGTTCAGAGGGAATTTTTATATATGAGATCCAACTCCCTTTTGCCAAAATATAAATGATGTTAACAATAGGAAAACAAAATCTAGTCAGTAGTCTCTTATTTATATATTTCTTCCTGCAAATATATCGTATGATCAGATTTCTAATATAAAACACACATAGTAAAATAAATTTTCAACCATCAAGAGCACAGGCTTAGGGGTGAATGATAAGAGACAAGTGGAGTAAGACACTGAAAAACGAAGTCAACTCAGGACCAGAGGAACTACTTTCCTGGTACTCTTCCCTCCCTTGTATCCTCCAGGGATTGATTCCAGGACACCAACCCCCTCCCTGGCCCCCAGCACGGATACCAAAATCCATGGATGCTCAAGTCCCTTCTATAAAATGGCATAGTATTTGCATATAAACTATGCATATCCTCTTGTATACTTTATATCATCCCTAGAATACGTATAACAGTGGTCCCCAACCGTTTTAGCACCAGGGACCAGTTTCGTGGAAGACAACTTTTCCACAGATGCTGGGGCGGGGGGCGGAGTGGGGATGGTTTTGGGATGAAACCATCAGATCATCCAATCATCCGATCATCAGGCATTACTTTGATTCTCATACTGTGAGATCTAGTGTGCAACCTAGATCCCTCACATGCACAGTTCACAATAGGGTTCACGCTCCCGTGAGAATCTAATGCCGCTGCTGATCTGACAGGAGACAGGGCTCAGGCAATAATGCTCGTTCACCCGCCACTCACTCCCTACTGTGCGGCCTGGTTCCTGACAGGCCATGGGAGTGGTACCGGTCCTCGGCCCGGGCTCTGGGGACCCCTGACTATGCTATGTAAATAGTTGTTATGCTGTATTGGTTTTATTTGTACTATTTTTATTGCCACATTGTTATTTTCGGGGGGGGGGGTTCCCAATTTTTTATTTTTATTTTTTTAAGAGACAAGGTCTTGCTATGTTGCCCAGGCTGGCCCCAAACTCCTGGGCTCAAGCAATCCTCCCATTTGAGCCTCCCTAGGAAATGAGACTACAGGCAAACACCACCACACCCAGTCCAAATATTTTGAATCCAAGCCTGGCTGCATCCACAGATGTGAAAACCATGGATTCAAAGGATTCACTGTATAGTCCAACAATTCAAGTTTCCGTGGACTTTATGTAAAAGCCTAGAAGCCTTCTCATGTATCTTCACCTTGGAAACAATAAAAAATACTTCCCAGGAGGCCAATGACATGGCCCATTTTTTAGAACAGAAGCAGCACATTTTATCTCCTGAGACAAACGCTCATAGGCACACCAACAATTATCACCTTTGGTAACCCTCAAAGTATTTTAGCATGGGGCCTGTTTCTTTCCTTAGTGTGCCTTTAGCTTCTCTCCTCTCACAGTCACTGAATTCTACACTTAAAATGGGTGAGACTGACTCTTAAGAAAAAAAAGACAGTTGTATATTCTCACACTAGAAGCACAATAAATGTGCTAGAAGTACTAAGTACTCTGGTAGGCGGGGGTGGGCGGATTACTTGAGCCCAGGAGTTGAAGACCAGCCCGTGCAACGTGGCGAGACCACATCTCTACTAAAAAAACAGAAAAATTAGCTGGGAGTGGTGGCGTGCCCCTATAGTCCCAGCTACCAGGGAGGATGGGATGGGAGGATCACTTAAGCTTGGGAGGTCAAGGCTGCAGTGAGCCATGATCGCACCACTGCACTCCAGCCTGGGTAACAGAGTGAGACCTTGTCTCAAAAAAAAGTGTTTTAGTTCTTTATAAGTTTGATGATATTTCTATGATCAGAAGTATGTCATAGGAACTTAACTCTTGTTTATATCCATTAGCCTGTGGTAAAATCGGTTTCGTTAGAAGTCATTTTGCTTGAAGTTTACAACAATCTATTGATGATGTTGAGTGAGGACTTACTCTACATGAGAAATAAAAAGAAGAAAATAATCCCATCACCTAGAAAGACAACCACTATTAAACCAATATACACAAAAAATATATAGATAGAGAAAATTTTATTTTTCAAGACCTCAGATGCCATTTTGGAATCTATTTTTACCACTTAATGTGATTATTTGCCCCATGTCACTAAATATCATTAAAAATTAACATTAGCAAAAGATACCTCCCACAAATTGAGTACTTACCGTTTGCCAAGCACGACATTAGCACTTTGCAGAAGTTATTTCATCCTCACAAACAGCCTGTGAGGAAGATATCGTCACACCCACTACACTGATATGCAAACTACCTATCAATATCTAATGATATTTTGGATCACAAACTAAATAATCATGACAGTATATTTTTTTAATTATGAAGTCAAATTTATAAAAGTATTTTCAGGCAGAAACTAGTGATGTAGGAACTCTCTCTCCAAATCTAGAAGTATATATCTATGAAAAAAAATATTTGGGGGCATAAAAACTACGTTAAAATAAATGTAGAAACATGTTGAAGATCTTCGATGTGACTAAAAAGGAAAGCCTCATTTTTTACTATGATATAGGAGTAGCAAAGGGTAATTAAAACAACCAGCAGCAGCACTGTGAGCTTTCACAGAAAGATACAAGTTCACAAAATCCCTTTCCTAATGACCAAGCTCCATGGATTGGGGCTTTCGCATCTGTGACCATCTTTCTGAATGTCCTGGCATACCCCGTCTTTTGTATTTTCCTAAGAGGAAGAAATCCCTCTGTGAATGGAACAATAACCTCAGTGCCATGTGTGTAAGACTATATATGCCTACTGCTTGGTTGAAGGCCACTGGGAATTACACACACCTGTTAGTGGGGAGCAACATGGTCCTCCAATCTGGTTACATTACGTAGAAGTAAATTATAGGTGACCCTTAATCTCTGTTTTGTGCGTCCCCACTTACCCTGCCGTTCGTAAGTACACGCACATTCCAGACACATGAAGAGGAGCTTTTTATCCAAGACTTTGAAAGAACCGACTAGGAGTTTACAGGAAGATCTCTAATGAGTAATAGTGGTAGGTAAAATTCACGCTGAGCCAGTTCTTTCTTGGTCGTCATTTGTGTACGTTTCCTTACTAAAGTACCAAAATGTCTTTGTTTCAAGGTCATTTCACCTATGGAGTAAATGCATAATTTGTAACTACGCTGCAAAATTTGTGGTTACACTGACTCCAAGTTATCTTATTTCATACTGAAAAGAACCCTGAAATGAAAGTACCACCATTCACTATATTGAGGAGGCAAATTTAAAACCAGGAAGCTGATATTACCTGTTACTGCCAGGTCACTCCTTTTCGGATTATCACTGGAGCTTTCAAATCTTCAAGAGATCAGAAAGCATTCCAGTGGCTCAACAAAGGCACTGAAACAAGGACAAAAAATGCCTCACTGACATTTTAGGGGCTAATGCCTATATTTCTTTCTTTCTTTGTTTTTTCCCCCTTGAGATAGAGTCTCACTCTGTCGTCCAGCCTGGAGTGCAGTGGCGCCATCTCAGCTCACCACAACCTCCACCTCCTGGGTTCAAACGGTTCTCCTGCCTCTGCCTCCCAAGTAGCCGAGACCACAGGCACATGCCAGCATGTCCAGCTAATTTTTATGTTTTTAGTAGAGATGAGGTTTCACCATGCTGGCCAGGCTGGTCTGCAACTCCTGGCCTCAAGTGATCCTCCCGCCTCGGGCCCCCAGGGTGCTGGGACTACAGGCGTGAACTTACGCGCCCCACCTTCTTTCTCTTTACTATCTTTGATGTTCATGTATCTATTCATTCAGTCAACAAGCAGAAAATGCCTATCATGTGCAAGGCACTATGGAAGGCACTGAAGAATCACACATAATAGAGACACACTCTCAAGGCTTTTATAACTTAGCTGAGGAACCCAATTTATTCACCACCATGAACTATATCATATAATAAGTGCTACAATGTGTAAGCGCTGTGGGAGCACCATGGAGGTGTTACTTGAGTCATACCATGAAGTACCTTTTCTTCAGGGAAGGAAGGAATGATGTGATAATCCATTAGAGGTATGGCACAGGCACAAAAACAATAAACCCTTATGGAAAAGTCTTCACTAAAAGACTATTGAGGCCAGGCATGGTGGCTCACGCCTGTAATCCCAGCACTTTGGGAGGCCGAGGCAGGCTGAGGTCACGAGTTCAAGACCAGCCTGGCCAACCCGGTGAAACCCCGCCTCTACTAAAAATACAAAAATCAGCTGGGCGTGGTGACGCACACCTGTAATCCCAGCTACTCGGGAGGCTGAGGCAGGAAATTGCTTGAACCTGGGAGGCAGAGGTCGCAATGAGCCAAGATCCCACCACTGCACTCCAGGCTGGGCTATAAGAGCGAAACCCCTTCTCAAAAAAAAATAAAATAATAAAAAAAGACTACTGAAAAGAGAAAACAAAGTAAAAGTAGTTACACAGAAAATAAGAAAATGAAAGAATCTAATGATAAAGAAATATACTGATGTGAAATTGGAGACCAGTTGGAGGTTAAGTTTAAAAATATATATATATTTTGAACACAGTATTGAAATAGGCCAGAGGTTTATGAATAAGTGAAGCAGACCCATTAACGCAAACACTGGTACTGCTTCCTCAAAGCTTTTGTGAAATGAAGGAAGGCAAAAAGGGAATGGATAGATGATCTTGGGAGCCAGACTCTGGTAAGAATCTGTGCCCTGGGAAGGACGGTTAGTTCTTCCACACTGTGCACTCCACCTCAGGGCATCTTATCTCCCTTCCAGAATTCTTGCCTAGCAACTTCCCTTACAGTGCACCAGGCTCCCAACTTCAGATTTTATGCTCTACTGTATTTAAATTCTTCTTATTTAAATTTAAAAATGTATGGTAGCTCTTCCTATTTTGGATTTTGTATATTCCTTCCAGTTGTTTTTGTTTTGTTTTACTCTCTTATGTATTTGCATTAAGTAACATTTTGGTTCACATATATACATGCCTAAGAAATTTTCCTCAACCTCCTCTTACCAATCAGTAACACTGGTTTCACCAAGGAGTAAGATTCTAATGTGTTAAACCCTATTTAATATCTTTCAGTTTGATCCTCAAACTGTACATTTCTCCATCTGCAAGTACAGCGTTACATTCACCAACTTACCTAATGGAATTTGATACATGGTTGGACATTACTATAAATTAGCTGAATCTCAATTTATTTAGGAAGCTCTACAATGTAACTCCTCAAAAGGCAACAGTCTCCTATAGAATCAATATACATGTAACACCATTAAGAAGCAGCCTCTCAGAAAAGCGATTCAGCAATTGAGATTAATGTAATGAAAGTTATTCAGGTAGATAACAATCTAATTTTAAAACACTTGAAAGAAATAAGTCCTAACTCCTTTCCCATACAAATAGAGATGCTAGCCAGTCTGGGGCAAGGGAGGGTTGGGCTGGTGTAGTGGCAGGGAAGATGGGCACAGGAACCTAACACCAATTTTTTCACTTGTACATTTCCTAAAAGAATTTTGAAAAACCTTGTGCTCTTCTGACATTTTAGGTTGACATGTTAATTTAATGATGGCATGGATATAGTTTCCAGTATGGTATATACGTATCTTAAATATTATTGTTGCAACCCTGCAGCTGTAGATTTCACTCTTTTACTTAATGAAATATGTCCACCAAACAATCTAATTGTTAAGCCTGTTCTGTCAAATCAATAAATCAAATAAAACTTACTTTCTGTCAAAAAATTCATATTTCATTTCAAATAAAAGTGCTAATCTGCCTTCCCTATAAACCCTCCCTCACCACCCATCACCACCACAGACAGACAACAATCAACTTGATTCTAAAAGAAAGAAATAAGGTATGGAGTCCTGCCATGGGTTTGTTACCTGGAGGAAACATCTATGATTTTGACCAAAGCAGTCATCACTTTGCTATCTTCAAATTCACACCCAGAACCTAAGAATTTTTTTTTTTTTTTTGGAGACAGAGTCTCGTTCTGTCACCCAGGCTAGAGTGCAGGTGCTTGATCTCCGCTCACTGAAACCTCCGCCTCCCAGGTTCAAGCAATTTTCTGCCTCAGCCTCCCAAGTAGTTGGGATTACAGGCATGTGCCACCACGCCTGGCTAATTTTTGTATTTTTGGTAGAGACGGGGTTTCACCATGTTGGCCAGACTGGTCTCAAACTCCTGACCTTGTGATCCACCCGCCTCGGCCTCCCAAAGTGCTGGGATTACAGGCATGAGCCATCGCGCCCAGCCCCAGAACCTAAGAATTCTTAAATGGTCCCTTTAGTGGGTGAACCAGAGGATTTACACTCCCTGAAGCAATCAAATATTGTAAGATTTGTGCTGGGTCAGAAGCATGACTGACTGCCTTTGTCAAGTGGGAGGAAAGCAATTTGTGAATGGAGAGGTAGGAAGGAAGACTCACTCTGCCACAGGTGCTCTCAGGCAACCATATTAGAAATTATCAAATGCAGACATTGAGCATCTAAATACCATTAAAACTATTTTTGCATGCAAAATTCCTGAAAAGTCTCCATGAATCCCGAAGTGTATATATACACCCACTTTAAAGACAACTAATCTAAAAAACAGCTCCAGAGTGCTTAACTCAACATTGGAAGCCAGGCACACAAAACGCAAAAGCTGTCAGTCATAATGTTCTAAGAATAGAAGCAGAATAAAGATAACAAGGCAATGTGGTAAAAGCTTTAGGATACGCAAATTTGACATAGGGGTGCAGAGCTTGGATTCTGGAATCAGAAAGTCTGGGGTTTGGATTCCACCTGTACTACTTACTAGCCATGTGACTTTAAATAAATTTCTTTATCTCCTTGGGGCTTTGTTCCCTCCTCTTTAAGACAGGAGCACTATTGATGTTGATGATGGCAGTGATGATGTTTTAAGTATCTGTACTTCACTGAATTGTTGTGAGGATTAAATGAAATAACACAAGGCACTTAGCACAAAACGTAGCATGTAGTAAACATTCAATAAATGCTAACACAACATTAGGAGGGAGAGTTTTACTTAATAAAATATGTCCACCAAACAATCTAATTGCTAAGCCTGTCCTTACTGTCAAATTAATAAATCAAATAAAACCCTCTCCTGAGTGTAAATCACTGCCCATTTTTGCCAGCAGTTTAGACTATGAGTGAAAAGAAGGTTTTTAGGAACACCAAGCCAACTCAGGCAAAATGGAGACATATTTTCAACTACAGGCCTGTCCTATGTCCCTAAAATTGCCTTCCATGAATGTAACCCCAATCAGAGTATAGTTTAAGGTAGAACATAAGAATTTGTCCTTCTTACTATTGACCCAAGGGATAAACAGCACTAGTAAAATTCTGCTTTTTTATAGATACTCTCAAATCTGTATCTGAATTTCTAAATGCATTTAAGATGCCCGGGGTCTAAAAACATACAACACAGTTAACAACAAAGAAAACGAACTTAGGAGGGCTGAGTTAGAAAACCCCTACAGCTGTTAAGACAGTCTTTTGCAAACCAAGAGATTAGGAATTTAATTTGTACAAGTATGGAGGGGACTTCCAGCCACTTGTCTGAGAGAGCTTAGTACAGATAAGAAATTAATGTGCCTGAATGACTTAGACTTAATTCTTATAAACACTCTCACTTCTGAAATGGGACCGGAGCTTTGCCTTTGAGTGGACATCCAAAAAGGAAAAAAAAAACAAAAAAAAAACCTGGGAATAAGAGAATTAACTTAAAAACTCATAAAAAGCAAGGCATTACTGTACATCTGATAAGACTGAAAACCATATGAATGCATAACTAATGAATTTCCCACACACCAAGTTCATGCAAAATCACACAGTTAATTCCATTTCATACTTTTAAACCTTCACTAGAATTGGTTGTTTTTTTAATCTTTACTTTCCCATCTACTAAGGTAAGTCAGAAGACCCTGGATGTAAACATATCAATTGCCTCTAAAATAAAGACCAAGTATTGAAATAGTGAAGAGGATACTGCATTGTCTCCTAGTGCTTTTGAGGAAGCAGAGCCCAAAATCATGGCTCATTTTACTACTGGCCAAACTGTGAAGCAGAATATATCACTACATGTAGCAAATAACAAGTAAGCAGAGAATCAAAGACATCACAATGATATATCCATAAAAAAAGTATTATCATATTTGTCCTAAAGACAACTCTAGAAATAATTCTATTTATCTAGTAAGAAAAGGCATGACCATTTACTATATATAAAAACATAATCTTTCAAAGAATGTCAAAAATGAAACCACTATATTATCCAATAAATTCTGTGACCGGGGAGAGAAAACCTACTAATCTCTAATAAATGGAACCTCCACATCAGAGATATTAGAGGTGCTGTTTTTCTAAACCCATTTAATGTAGCTCTTTGAGCTTGCAACAGGATCTCCATGACAGGTTTCATTTCTAAAATTCAATTAAAACTTATCTACGATTTAAATAGGTACCATATGGGGATGAATTTTAGGAACCTATGTAACTTGAGGCATCTGATGACACTGTTAAAAGGAGTTGTCTATTACTGCAGGAACACGGTAATTTAGAAATGGCATCCTAGGCCGGGCGCTGTGGCTCACGCCTGTAATCCCAGCACTTTGGGAGGCTGAGGTGGGCAGATCACAAGGTCGGGAGATCGACACCATCCTGGCTAACATGATGAAACCCCGTCTCTACTAAAGATACAAAAAATTAGCCAGTCATGCTAGCACATGCCTGTAATCCCAGCTAGTCAGGAGGCTGAGGCAGGAGAATCGCTTGAACCCGGGAGGCGAAGGTTGCAGTGAGCCGAGATCGTGCCACTGCACTCCAGCCTCGGTGACAGAGCCAGACTCCGTCTCCAAAAAAAAAAAAAAAAAATGGCATCCTATCTAATTTAATCACACCATAACTTAGAGCAAGTTTTATATTTTAAACTATATAGCTTTCAAGTAGCAATCTCAAATCCTATAAATGAAGACTGCATTAAAATGTTAAATGTATTGTTATAACATTTCCTTCGGAAACCAGATTTAATTATAGGATCATCTATAATGTCTTGCCTTTATCAGAGGAATTGGGGAGGTAATTAAGTAAGTAGAGTGTATCACTTTACATTTCTGGTCCCAATAACTTTCGGAACACTGTGTAACAAAATGTGCTATGAGAAAAGAGTACTTGTAAAATTATTACCGTAATACAAATAATCAACTTCTTCAAGACAGAAAAATTCTTGGCTATAAAATTCAGAGGAAAATTCCAAACTTATGACAAGATGAAAATACTGAAATATATTTGACATTTGAAAACAAAATTTCCAGAAGTTTCTCTCACAAATACACGAGACAGAAACTGACTGATTCAGAGGCCACGCACCTGAAGTTGTCTCACCAGTCTTAAAAGATTATCTCAATACAAGAAATGATTGTCTTTCCAATATTTCTTTTTCAGTCTTATAGTCTACAGAAGTATCCACATAAGGAGAGCTAGCAGGACACACACACCATAAATCACAGTAGGCAGGTCAGCTCTATGCTTAGTCAGTTCTTCATTCTACACCTTCTCCCAGTTAGAAGCAGCCCCATCTCCTCTGGGGAATTAATTGCCATGTAATCATCACTTGGATTACTGAGCTCTACTGTTTCACTTCCAGCTTTTTAAGAGAATTGCTTTCCTCCCACTTTTTTCAAATAGAAGAGGTGAGGAGATCAAAATACAACAAGCACTAATATACCCTTCCCCAGATTCAACATTTGTTAACAACTTTCCACGTCTGCTTCCTCTCTACATATGTGTATCTGTACGTTCTTTTGCTCATCCATTTGAAAATAAGTTGCATACATTTTAACTCATCCCTAAGACCTTTGGCATATGATTCCTATTAAGAATAACATAATCAAATTAGCCAGGCGTGGTGGCGCATGCCTGTAATGCCAACTACTCGGGAGGCTGAGGCAGGAGAATTGCTTGAACCCGGAAGGCAGAGGCGGCATTGAGCCAAGATCGCGCCATTGCACTCCAGCTAGGGAAACAGAGCGAGACTCCGTCTCAAAAAAAAATAATAACATAATCTCTTACATGATCACAATACATGATGCTGAAGCCACTATTCTGGAGACCACGCTTTGAGAACCAACGCACAGAGACTAAGATAAAACTGCTGTTCAATAAATGCTCTTCTCCTCATCCTCTACTCTTCCCTTTCCAAAAGTCAACTGTCATTATCCTATGAAAACAGAACTTTGAATATGTTATACAATCAATTTGTTGGCAGGGAATACCCATCCCCAACATATCTACTGAGAGACTAAATAAACAAATGGTCAAAGGCCAGATCGTAGGTAACTACGACCCACGACCTGCAGCTACAAGCCCAGGCAACCAACCTATTATCTACAATAACCAGTCTAGGAAGTCAGACTGGTTACTGTCTAGCAACTAGCCCAGGAAGCCCAACAATGCCCTTAAGAATTTGTACAAAGCCACACTATCTGTGATCATGCCTGGGGAACACAGCAAGATCTCATCTCTTTTTTTTAAAAAAAAAAAAAAAAAAAAAAAAGGACAAAATGGCCAGGAAATGATTAGTAACTGTCAGCTTCCCTAATTTTTGCTCCTGCTTCCAATGTAGGACCAACCAGAGAAAGCCAAAAATGTACCCTTAACTAATCACACAGGTTGCTATGCTTTTAGTTGGCTCACCTACAGCTTCCCACAGGAACAGCCTACAAACAGGGCATACCTGAAACCTTCCCTTTTTTCCACTCTAAAGTTTACCCTGCTGGGCACAGTGGCTCACACTTGTAATCCCAACACTTTGGGAAGACAAGGCAGGAAGATCACTTGAGCCCAGGACTTCAAGATGAGCCTGGGAAACATAGTGAGACCCAGTGTCTACAAAAAATAAAAATAAATTAGCTGGACATGGTAGCACATGCCTGTAGTTCCAGCTACTCAGGGGGGACTGAGATGGGAGAGTCACTTGAGCCTGGGAGGTCGAGACTGCAATGAGCCATGATCACGCCCCTGCACTCCACGTGGTCAACAGAGCAAGAGCCTATCTCCAGAAAAAAAATAAAATAAACAAAAGTTTTCCCATTCCTCTGTCTTCCTTGAATCTCCACCAAATTGAATAGATGGTGGTGGATTCCCTTACTATATAAAGAAAGCTCTGAATAAGTAGCCTTTGATTGTACTCATTTGGGTAGACCTCATTTATTTCCACAACCAGAATAAAATCAATTAGTTATTTTTGTGATGTTTTTGCTCTTTAACTTAGAATTCCTTCTTCTGAGACAGTGTGATATGGGGCAGGAGGGACCTGCTTTGGAGCCAGGAAGACCTGGGTTTGGAAATCTGACTTCTCCAGCGATTACCTTATGCAAGTTCTATAATCTCTTTGAACGTGAGACCTGTGTTTGGAAATCTGACTTCTCCAGCGATTACCTGATGCAAGTTCTAGAATCTCTTTGAACGCCCATTTCCTCACTGATGTTCTCCATGAAGGGAACAATAAGCACCCACTGCTTAGGGCTGCCCTAAGAAGAGAAAATAAACACAAAAGGACACCGTGCCTGACACAGAGAAGTGTCAATGAAGTCAGGTGCTCTGACTGGGCTATGTTCTTCAGCTTTGAAACCTTTAATCCTGTGAGTATGAACCTGCTGACGTTAGGTGTGGAAAGGTTTTTTTTGTTTGTTTTTAAGTAATGTTATTGGGAGTATAGAGCCAAGTCCCTCACTTTAGAAACTAAAAGATGAGTGTTGCAGCTTCGGCATACCGTTTTGACTACTGTGACAGAAAATGACCCAAACTAGTTCATGTAAAATCTCATCAACAGGCCGGGCATGGTGGCTCACACCTATTATCCCAGCACTTTGGGAGGCCGAGGTGGGCAGATCACCTGAGGTCGGGAGTTCGAGACCAGCCTGACCAACATGGAGCAACCCCATCTCTGCTAAAAATACAAAATTAGCCGGGCGTGGCGGCACATGCCTGTAATCCCAGCTACTCAGGAGGCTGAGGCAGGAGAATGGCTTGAACGCCTCCGGGAGGCGGAGGTTGAGGTGAGCCGACATCGCACCATTGCACTCCAGCCTGGGCAACAAAAGCGAAACTCTATCTCAAAAAAAAAAAACTCATCAACAGAACTATAGGGACATCCCAGACTCCCAAAGACTGAGTTTCAACTGATAAATAACTCAATAAATCAGGCTGCTCTCTCAGGAAATGCTTGATTTGATCACCTCCGTTGTTCTTCTCTCAACCTGCTTCTTTTGCTTACTCAGCTGCACACGGCCCTGAAAAATGCCCACCCCAAGATGGCAGTGATCTATAATTTCATAAAGATTTGGGTTACACAGGTGTATGCATTTGTCGGAATTCATCGAATGGTATACTTAAGACATAGGCATTCCACTGCACTTAATGGATCTAGTCTCATTTCTGTCTCCCTCACTAAACTGTGACATCTCAAGGACAAAAAGGAATCATATTCGACACTGAATCCTCCACGCTGGCACAATGCCTAGCATGTAACTGAATCTCAGTAAATGCGTGATTATTAAACAAAGGAAGCAAACTGAAGAATTTGAGAAAGTCTACTTATTGGGATTTATTCTGAAAGATGTACTACAAGTTCACATTTTAATTAATGATTACATTCCAGTGAATTAATATAAACGTATTTAAATTTTAATCATTATGAAGTGAACTATATTTATAAGCAAACAATTAGTGACTTAATTAAGGTGCCAACTGTTCAGTGTACATGACTCTACCACCACCTAGTGTAAATAAATGCATATTACCACATTTGGAAATTCCCTAAAGACAAAGAATCTCCCAATGGTGGGTCACAAACTAACATACTTCAACCACAAACATTCAGCAGGTGCCTGCCGGTCCTGGAAATTATGCCAGGCTCCAGAAGGACAGACACAGCTCTTGTCTGTGTTGATCACTGCTGTCTCCTCAGGGTTTAGGAGAATGGCAAAGCACTTTGCTGGCCTTCAATAAATATCTGTTAGCTGACTGACAAGATTCTGGGATTAAAAGGTGACTAAGTTATCTTCGGGAAAGACATTCAGCCATTCAAAACCAACAGCATTTTATAAACAATGAAATATTATTCTGCACTAAAAATAAATGAGCTATCAAGCTCTGAAAAGACACGGAGGAAACTTAAGTGAATATTACTAAGCGAAAGAAGCCAATGTGAAAAGGCTACACACTATACGATTCCAACTGTATGACATTTAGGAAAAGGCAAAACTATAGAGACAGTAAAAGGATCAGTGATGACCAGGAGCTGGGGAGGGAAGGGATGAATATGTAGGGCACAGGGGATTCAGGGGGCAGGGAAATTACTCTATGATATGATGATGGTGGATACATGTCATTACACATATGTCAAAACCCATAGGATTTACAACACCAAGGGTGAACGCTAATGTAAACTATTCACTTTGGGTGATAATGTCATGAGTAGAAGGTGATCGGTTGCAACAAACGTGCCATTCTGGCGGGGGGTGTCCATTGTAGGGGAGGCTGTGCATGTGTAGAGGAAGAGGGTCTATGCGAACTCTCTGTGCTACGCACTCAATTTTGCTATGTAGTTAAAACTACTCTAAAAAGTAGTTTTTTTTAGTCAATAAAATTTTTTTACTTTAACTTTAGATATCAAATAAGCAAAACCCAAATCTAACAAGTACATCAAAAATATACTGTTTTTTTAAATGCCTACATAAATGCTCAATAAATGTTATTTCCTCACCTCCGTAGCACAACCGCAACTGCTTACCCCAAGTAGCTGACATGAAGTGGCTGTAAAGAAGCCACTGTTTCTTCATCTGTGAAATTAAGACAGCAGGACTAAATCTCTCACTTCCTATTCTAATTTAACATTCTTTTAAATTTTAAAAGAATAGATCACTAAACCTAAACTTTTCTAAAATATAGAAAAAGGAAGGAAACTGTCAAATACTTACAGCATCACACAGTGACACCAAAACCTGACAACGAACACATTAAAAATTACTGTCAAATCTCACTTGCGGGCCAGGGGCGGTGGCTCACACCTGTAATTCTAGCACTTTGGGAGGCCAAGATGGGTGGATGACTTGAGGCTAGGAGTTCGAGACCAGCTTGGCCAACATGGCAGAACCTTGTCTCTCCTAAAAATACAAAAATTATGGGTGGTGTTGTGCACCTGTACTACCAGCTACTGGGGAGGCTGAGGCACGAGAATCGTTTGAACTCGTTTGGGAGGTGGAAGTTGCAGTGGACAGAGTTCGCACCTCCAGCCTGGGCCACAAACCAAGACTCCGTTTCAAAAAAGAAACGGAAAAAAAAGACTCATTTATAAATATTGGTGCAAAAACTTTAAAAGTAATAGCAATGAGAACTCATAAATGCACTAAATGAAGGATAGGCTATAGGCACAACTGTTTACTCCAGTGATTCCAGGAGAGTTCACTATTAGGAACTCTACTCATACAAGCAACCATATAAGTAGGTCAAAAAAGAAAAGTTATATGACCATCTAAGTAGATGCCAAATAGACATGATGAAATTTTTAAACCGTTCCTGATTTTAACGCTTAGCAAAATAGCAATAGATGACTATTTCCTTAACATAATGGAAAAATACATTTCATATCAGTCTATAACTTTCTAATGTTTTACTGGAAACATTACTGAAACACTAAAACAATGACACACACAAGCATTTCTGTTGAAGTCTGGGAGGAATAAAGAAAGCCCACCATTGGGCTTCTAGATTAATATTCATCTAGAAGTACCATACTAGCCAATGCAAGGGAAAAAAAATCTTATGTGAGTTTTATTTATTTACCACACATTTTTACAGTGCTTACTATATGTCAGATACTGTTCTGAACACTTTACAAATACTAAATCATTTAATTCATATAATCGTCATAATAATAAGGCAGTACTATTATTATCTCATTTTACAGAGGGAGAGAGCAAGGCACAGAGAACATAAGTAGCTTGCGCAAAGTCACATAGCTAGCAAGTTAGTAGAAACAGGCTTAACACACAAGCAGTCATAGTTCCAGAGCCGGTGCTTCTCACCACTATGCTATATGAAACACGATATCGGACTGAAGGAGGCGGAAGTATCCATATATGCAGATGATATGACACATTTGCAAAATTCAAGGGAGAAAAAAGTTGAAACATTGTTATAAGTGAGAATTTAGTACAGTGGTGGATTACAAAATCACATAAAACTACGATGCTTCTATATGTAAACAATAAAAACTTAGAAAATATACTATAAAAAGATGCTATTTACACTACTGACAAAAAAGGTAAAATAACTAGAAATAAAAATAAGTAGATAGTTCCTATTTGAATAAAAAATTACAACCCTGCTGGTTTATCAGTGAACATAAACTCCAAATTTACCAAAAGCGAGGTATTCAAAAGGTATGAACTGACTTAAAATGCTCCTCAGGCACCTAAGTAAAAGCCACAGGGTTGAAAGCAAACCAGCCTTAAAAAGGCCCACCGTTTCGCCACCTACCTGGATCAGGTGTATGCAATACACTTGAGCTTTGTCAGCTAACCCAATTATGCCCAATCTTTTAGGCCAACCCTTAACAAATTTAATACCTTCTATTACCAGCCCAAGAGCACGGTCATGATACAGAAACACTTTTCTGCAAACTGTTAGTAAATCTCTACTACACCTTACAACAGTCCACATTTTAACTACTAATAAAGCACTGAAGTTGGGTGAGGATCTGATGGAACAAGTGGATCTTCTAGTCGGCTCCTATTCCACTTTAAGGCCTAAGGTTGGCAGTTAATGCCCAGTCAAATCAGATTAGGTAATACGTGAAGAAATTGTTCACAATGCAAAAAAGAGAAATCCTGAATAAACATTCAGAGAAGTGTCCCCTAAAAAGTAAGGATCATTCAACTATGAAATGAGTTAACATGGGAAACCAAGATTCTCTGTAGGAAATAGTTTAATGGGATAGGTGTGCATCCATAAAGAAACTGCTATGCATTGAGGTGGGGAAAAATGCTTTAACCGTCACCATTAGCACCATAATCAGTCAGTCAGTCAAGCAACCAGGCAACCATTACTTATGGAGTTGCTACTATGGGCACAACTCTGCAGCAGTCAAAATAAAATGTGAGGTATGATTCCATCAAGAGAAATATTTATTATATGCTTGGAGAAACAAACATGAAGAGAATACAAAGCAATACATGAAAAGAAATACATAAGGCAAACTAATAATGGGAGAATTTCTCTCTGAGTTCCCATATATATTACAGGAATAAAAATCTAAGGAGCAATCAATCAGAATAGAATTTTATTTCTTCCAACTTTTAGAAGCTGAAAAGATTTGGAGGACTATAAAATGTACACAGGCAAATAATCCACGGCAGTAGTAATAACTGATGAGGGATTATTAAAAACACACTAAAGCCTCAAACGTCAGCAATGTTTATCATCCTATTTCATTAAAACATATTCACTAATTAATTTCAGTAACCAGAGTTAATTTAACAAGTCACTGTGCTAGGCTTTTACTGAATGAGTCAAAAGGAAACACATAAAAATACTCAAAGATTTCTTATATAAAGCAACAGGACTGGATGCAAGCTCTAAGGGCAGCTGTTTAACAATGAAAAAACTGGGACTGAAATCAAGTTTGTGACTGAAAATAGGCACATTGAGCTCTGTAGTCACCTCTATTTATAGTACTGTAATAAAAGCCACATATTGGGTTAAATCAATGTCCTCCCATCCCTTAGATAACCCACTCTACAATACAACAAATTTATAACTGAAGATGTAGGGTGATAATTCACATTAATTCAGCAAATATTTACTGAGTTATGATGCTGTGCTCAGTGCCTGAAATGCTAAATTTAATAAGACATAGACCCAGCATTTTTTGTTTGTTTTTTTAAATAAAGACACAGTCAAGTCCAAGTCCCTGATCTGAAAGAGCTCATGTTATAGAGAATTTCTCACTTTGTAGGGAGAGAAAAAGTATTCCTTTAAAAATAAAGTTCCTTGAAACAGTCCTGTTTTCCAATCATTAACTACCTAACCAGGAAGATAGAGAATTGGAAAACCACCACATTTGCTTATAAGAACTGAATGGAATATGAATTGGAAATAAAAATGAAATATCTCTAAAACCGTCATGCTATACTGGATTGAATGTACATCAAGAAATTGTATTTCCAGTCCTACATTGAGAAATTTTATTTACACAAAATCTATTACACAAAGCAAGATATAACCAGCTAATATTTCATTGAGCTATTACCAAATGTTAAGAGGTTTCCTAGAAAGAAATGAGTTCTATTAAAAGCTTTAGGGACACTGAGCCTCCAAATGCTATAGAAAAGCCAGATACTATAGAAAAGCCAGATACTGCCTTGAGGCAAAAATGCTAGAAAGTGATAGAATGCGTTCTTTACAATTTGCAGCTAGGTTATTACCCATGATAAATTGATAACCATTCATTAACTTTGAGAGCAATAGACAACTGGCAGGCTATTTCATGCCTCAAAGAATTTATGGCAAAAATGACAGGTGACTTTGAATTCTGAAAAGGATTCTTGGAAATTATTACTTTCATGCATTCCTTTAAATAAACTTGGAGGCAGATATAGGTATTTGCTGCTGATATGAATTAAAGGTCATGATTTTCTACATCAATGATAAAAGAATTAATGTTTATCGGTTGCATCAGTCTGTCAATCAACAACAGATACGTGAATCAGGCACTTAAAGTATATCCTGATAGCTGATATCCACTCTGAGTCATAGCAGGGAAAAACTATGCAAAAATACATCAATAACCTATATTAAAACAGTACAATTAAGAGTAGGAATTATGTTTGCAGGTTCTTTGCTGGCCACCTCCTTGGTACCTACCACAATGTTGGTAATCCCAAAGGAATTTGTCTCTGGCCCAATTTTCTTCTCATTCTCCCTGTTTCTAAGCTGATATATATCTAAGCCTTCAGCTATCACCTATCTCTACCTTCTCCAGGAATATCTCTCTCTTGAGTTGCTCCGATTGTCAACCCTGGCTTCACATTAGCATTACCTCAGTCGATTTTAAGACATACCAAACTGTGTCCCTGTGTCATATAAATTAAATCAGTATCTCTACGAATAGGACCAAGGCATGAATTTGTTGTTTAGTTTCCCTAATAGGCACACAAGGTCGAGACCCACTGCTTTTCTAGATCCATCACTCCAGCCATCTCCTGGACTGGTCAGCTCCACCTGAATATCTCACAGGCACCTCAAATTTCCCATGTAACATACCTACTCATCCACCAACACCAAGCTAAAGCATTTTCTCCTCTGCCCTAACTGACCCCAGGAGCATTAGGCAGTCCTTCCACCTAGCTTCCACAGTATTCTGTCTATGCCTCTGTTGAAGCATTTAGCACCATTTATTATAACTTATATTTTCCCCATAAGACTGTTTCTTTGTCCTGCTTTGTTTTAATATGCGAAGAACCCACAAATGAGTGGGACCAGAAGGTGAGTGATAGCCAAAATCCAAAGAGAAATCAAATATCTATAATCAGGTCTAAGGAGTCATTGCAAGGTTGGAAAACTGGAGACATGGCTAAGGTATCATTAAGCAGGCAGACACAAGATCAAAGTTATGAAGGAGGACACAAGGGGATGGGAATGGTGTACCCAGGGCTTAGCTTTATTAAATTCCACCTAGTACACCGAATGGACCAGACTAATCCAAATCTGGCTCTAGGTTAAAGAAAATGGTCCTGTAAAGTCTACTTCCCCAAAGAATATCGAATTTAAGTTCTCCTTTGTGCTTTCACTTCTACAGCCTTATATGGAGCCTTCCATCTCTTGAGTAGACTTTTTTTCCTTTTCTTGTATAGACTTTTAAAACAGCATCTTAATTCATGTCCATACTGATCATCTCTGGCCACTTCAGGCTAACACTGACCACAGAGTTATATTTCAGAAGAATAAATCTTTCGAGAGGTGAATGTTCAAGGGTAAGAATAGAGAAAAAATAAAAACATAAAATAAAATAATAAATCTTCTCCCTCATCACTCCTCTATTGGAAACTCTCAGGTGACTCTTAGAAAATAAGGTCCATGAGGTCAGGAGTTCCAGACCAGCCTGGCCAACATGGTGAAACCCCGTCTCTATTAAAAATACAAAAAATTAGCCAGCCATGATGGCAGGCACCTGTAATCCCAGCTAATCGGGAGGCTGAGGCAGGAGAATCACTTGCACCTGGGATGCGGAGGGTGCAGTGAGCTGAGATCGTGCCACTGCACTCCAGCCTGAGCAACAGAGCGAGACTCTGCCTCAAAAAAAAAAAAAAAAGAAAAGAAAAGAAAAGAAAAGAAAAGAAAAAGAAAAAGAAAAGAAGGTCCAAATTCTCTACCATGGCCTATACAGCCTTTCTCAACTTGGCTGTAACCAATACCTCCAACCATTCTCCCACATAATCAATACTACATTCACAATCAATATTCTCCATCTGTTCACAACTTAGTGCTTTTATACAAGCTGTGCGTACAGCAGAAGTACCCAATCCACTGCCTACCTACTATCCAAAATTTACAGATCCTGCAGAAATAGCTCAAATGCTACCTCTTCAGTAAGGCTATTTATAACTACACCAGAATAAATGGACATCCTCATTCACTACTGATTCTTTCCAAAAGTTTTTCTGGAGGCCCTACTATGTGACAGTCACTAGCATAAACTTTCCTATAGTATTTTGTTCAAACTTGAGTTATGACAGTTATGATGTTATATTTAAAACGTATGTGATTTTATCACCTGCATCTGTCTGTTCATTTCCTGAAGATAACAAGCATTATTTTCTGGTCCAACTTTCCTGTTTTTCTGACTTGGGTCCAAGAGGGGCTCAGGACTCCATGTTGTGCCTAATAAAGACTTCCCTGATGGCAGGTCACAGCTGTGGGCACCCGAGGGTCAGGCTACAAGGACAGATATTAAAATAATGACTGAGCCCACATGTAGAATATAAATAGTGAGCCAAGAAAGTGAAGAAAGGTCAAAAGGCAAAGTATTCAGGTCTTCCATCTCAGATGAGAAAAGGAGAGTTAAAAGTGAGAAACAAGACAAGCAGAGTTGGAAAAACTGAAGACTAATTCTGAAGTGATATCATCAACATAGCTCATCTGTGCATGACTTGATATACTTTGCTGGAACAAGGCCATAACCTTCAAGTAGAAAAGTCATTCTTTTTTTTTTTTTTTTTTTTTTTTTTGAGACAGAGTCTCGCTCTGTTGCCCAGGCTGGAGTGCAGTGGTGCGATCTCGGCTCACTGCAACCTCCGCCTCCCAGGTTCACACCATTCTCCTGCCTCAGTCTCCCAAGTAGCTGGGACTACAGGCGCCCACCACCGCGCCTGGCTGATTTTTTTTTTTTTTTTTTTTTTTTTTGTATTTTTAGTAGAGACGGGGTTTCATTATGTTAGCCAGGATGGTCTGGATCTCCTGACCTCGTGATCCGCCCGCCTCAGCCTCCCAAAGTGCTGGGATTACAGGCGTGAGCCACCGCGCCCGGCCGGAAAAGTCATTCTAAATACAGTACATTATATCCATCTTTGTAACTATTCTGCAGCCTAACCTAGTGCCAGGAACATGTGATGTGAAAATGTGCTGAATTAACACTTTTGCAAGTAATGATTATAACATACACGCATATATTCTATGTGTATTCATCTGACCCAGTAGGCAAAACAAAGCTACTGGAAATACTGAACTGTAGAATAGGATGTTGATATGGTTCAGCTCTGTGTCCCCACCCAAATCTCATATCCAATTGTAATCCCCGTGTGTTGAAGGAGGGGCCTGATGGGGGGGTGACTGAATCATGGGGGCAGACTTCCCCGTGCTGTTCTCCTTACAGAGTTCTCGCAAGATATTGTTGTTTGAAAATGTGTAGCACGTCCCCCTTCACTCTCTCCTGCTCTGCTGTTCTCGTGATAGTTCTCGCGAGATCTTGTTATTTGAAAGTGTGTGACACGTCCCCCTTCACTCTCTCCTGCTCTGCTGTTCTCGTGATAGAGTCCTCAAGAGATCTTGTTATTTGAAAGTGGCTCCTGCTCTGCTGTTCTCATGATAGAGTTCTCGCGAGATCTTATTTAAAAGTGTGTAGCACGTCCCCATTCACTCTCTCCTGCTCTGCTGTTCTCCTGACAGAGTTCTCGCGAGATCTTGTTACTTGAGAGTTTGTGGCACGTCCCCCTTCACTCTCTTGTTCTGCTATTCTCGCAATAAGAGTTCTCGTGAGATCTTGTTATTTGAAAGTGCGTGGCACGTCCCCCTTCACTCTCTCCTGCTCTGTCATGGTAAGATTTCCCTTCTCCTTCGCTTCCAGTTTCCTGAGACCTCCCAGCCATGCTTCCTGTACAGCCTGCGGAACTGTGAGTCAATTAAACTGCTTTTCTTCATAAATTACCCAGTCTCAGGTAGTTTTTTACAGCAGTGTGAGAACAGACTAATACAGGTATCTTATCTGAAACCAGTGACTTGAAACTACTAACTCATGGCATACAGTAAATATCAAAAGACTAATTTATTCTACCACCTATAAGTCACATACAGTATTAAAGCCTGGAACCAAAATGTAAAACAATCAGGAGCTTTGGAAATAAACTGTCACGTGAACTGAAGATTCTTCTGTCATTTGGCTGCAGAGGAAACCATTCCGCCACCCAAAAAAAAAAAAAAAAAAAAAGCCACAAAGAAAGAAGCAGGGATGAAAAAACACAAGATAACACACTTAGGCTCTTGAAGTCATTCCACTTTCTAGTTTCATTCCCTTCCCAAATCACAAGACACACCCCTACGCTTGATTTCTGTGAGATACCCTGAATCCTTTTAATATATTCTTCTTTGCTTCAGCTAACACTGGTTTCTATTTCCTGCAAACAAACAAATTTCATACCAACCATAAGTACCACAGTGCTTTACCTCGACTGCCTTTATTATATCCAAGAACTTCATTGTCAAAAACATCTATTCCTTTTACAACTCTGATTTCACTTCTTACTCCTCTTCTCAATTACCAATTTATTCAAATATCTACTGAGCACCTGCTCTAGCACTTAGTAACAGAAAGATGAATATGTCATGGTCTCTGCACTCAAGCACAGTCTAGTCCAGTTTTTTCAAGCTGTGGATCTTGATCAATTTGTAAAATCAATTTACTTGTCCTGAGAGGAACTTTTTAATATTTGAAATATAAGAAAATTAAAATACTGCATCACAAGAAATTAAATATTATTTTCTACAGCTTTTGTTTCAGTTACATGTGTGTTTTTACTGAATAGCAATATAGTATGTATATCTCACTGTGGGTCATGAACAAAGGATTTGAAAAATACCAGTAGGCCCCTATTTCCTAATAATGTGAACAAATGCCAAGGAAGAAGTCAGTCAAAAGCTGTGCCTTAGAAAATCCTTTAGTGTTTTAATAAAAAATAATTTCAATTGGTGTTTTCCTAGTTTATGTTGATTTCATAAGTACTTGAAAACAGTTGTTGGTTTGCCTCAAGTAGATTAAACATTCCGTCTTGTTTATAGTTTTAATTAGCTAAACAAATCCTTTTCTCTTTGCCTTGAACATTACAAAGAAACTTCAATTCAGCATGTCAGAATTATTATAAACTCCTAATTAGCTAAGTACAAATTTAGTACATTTTTACCACACTTACAATGAATGCTGTCTGGGCTAAATAAACCCCAATCATCATAAGAGTATCTATCAGCTACAAGGCTACAAGCCATGACAAGTTAGCCTGAAGAAAAGACCATGAGGCAGAAGACAGCTGTGCTCAAATATTATTAAAGGCATAAAATGACTCTAAATTGTTTAAGGTAACTTCTGAAAAATGTAAGTTAAAGAGAATGTAGCAATACATCAAATAAGCGTTGGGCATCTTGTAGGATTTCTTGTATTAATAATCTGATTTTGTTTCAAGGAAAATTAATTCAAGCATGTTTATTCTCTAGTTTAAAGGCTGTCCATCTTTATCAGATAGTGGAAATTATCTGAAATTAGTGGAAATTAGTGGGAAAAAAAGTGGAAATTAGTCAACAAGAATATTTCCTAAATACCTAGTACATGTAGCTCCAGGTATTATGCAGAACACTACATATTTCTGGAAAAGTCATAAAATACTTCCAAATTATATACATGTTATTATGTTAAAATCCATAGTAAAAACTTAGAACAATTTTAGTGCCAAAAATAATCACATCATAAACATGTTTCTATAGAAAAATAGAAATCATATAAAGCACAGCAATCTATTTCCATGTGTTTTCAAAAACATATACTTGCTACTTATCTATTTGTTTTGCTAGAGAGAATTAGGTAACTAAAGGCTAAGAAAAAATATGTAAAAAAAAAATTAAAATTGAGGGGGCTGAGGCAGGAGAATGGCATGAACCCGGGAGGCTGAGCTTGCAGTGAGCCAAGATTGCGCCACTGCACTCCAGCCTGGGCAACAGAACTGGACTCTGTCTCAAAAAAAAAAAAAAAAAAATTAAAATTGAGAAAATGTATTCGCAAACTTTGTTTTCTCAGACACAGGAAAAGTACCACTATTAGCTGGTTTTCACAGAGCCACACACTTTTGGCATACCTGTGTTCACGTATTCATTCTCATTTATTCTAAATTAATTGATTGTCTGCCTAATTCTAGAGACATAAAGATGAAGGTACTCACAGTTTAGAAAAGGAACAAACGTATAAACCAAATGTAATTTAATTTGCAAAGTGCAACACAGAGTAGAGTACCTAATCCAGGCTAGTGTGGTAGGGAGGGCAAGGAAGGCTTCCACAAAAGAGGTGAAATCTAAAACAAAGGATAGGAGGCATCCAGGTGAAGGTTTGGTTTCTGAACACTTTTACGTGTGTGGAGGTGTGGAAAGCCTAGCATTGTGAGTACGGGCATGGCAAGAAGAATTCGCCTGCTGGGTACAGTGCATCCTCCCGCGGGGCCTGCTGGGTACAGTGCATCCTCCCGCGGGGCCTGCTGGGTACAGTGCATCCTCCCGCGGGGCCTGCTGGGTACAGTGCATCCTCTCGCGGGGCCTGCTGGGTATAGTGAATTCTCCCGTGGATGCTGCAGGACCCCATGCCTAGAGGTCTGGAGAACTGTGCTCCACAGTGATCAGCGGTACCCCCATCCTTGGACCTGCCTCTCCCACGACTCCATGGGGGCCTGGCCTCAAGTCATAGGCCCCCGACTGTGCCACTGTGTCCACTGGTAATTGTACACCTGAGCAATGGAAGGGTCACACAGACCCCACCACCCACAAAACTGCATGTCAGATCACCCCATCTCTGGGCGCATCCCTTGACCCCGAGGCTCGGAGGGCAGAAGAATCACCATCAGGCCATCTGGTATAGCTGAAACAAACTCAGCCTGGAGCTGAGAGAAGGGTCAGAACTGGAGGGCTACACAAACACACTAAGGATTTTGGATTTTATGTTGTAAGAAATCAGGATTCAGAGAAATCTTAGATAGCTCACTCTATGAGCTAACAAAAAACAGATTAGTAAATAAGAAATGAGAATTAAGAAACATTTTAGGTCGAAATGAGATACATACTATACAATTTGCTGGTAAACAAAGCAACAAAATACATTTTAATTGAGTAGAAAAAAAGAAAGAAAAAAATGGTAGGGGACAGCAAAATCACATCTAAGAGGCTGTGGCAGGGATGACATCCAGGTGAGAAACTGGGGGCCTGAACTGTGTAGTAGGCATGGAAAGGAGAATGCAAGAAAAACTTGGTGATATAGGAAGGAAAATGAAATGAACTTGCTGAATGACTGCAATGAGATTGAGAAAAGGAAAAAGTCAAGGAGTGGTTCAAGATGAGGCAGGGAGGGACACATAGGCATGCTAACAATCTGAAGCCCTGAACCGAGAACAGTAGCTAGGAGGGTAGGAGGGGAACAAGAATGAATACCAGGTGACGAATCAGGAGACTAAGATAGAAATTTAGGCAAGAGGTTATGGTATGATGGTTTCAACTAGGATGATGATAGCAGAGATACAGGGATATATGTATATTTGAGAAACATTCTACTGCTGAAATCAACAGGATTGCAGTTATTAGGCTAACAGGTCAGGGAGAGGGAGAGAGGATGTCACAAGGACAAAACAGTGGGGTACTAGTTACTGAAATAAGGAAGGTAGGAGAGAAGCAAATTTAAGAATGAAGATTGAGAATACTGTTTTAAACATGTGGAATTTCCAGCTCCTCTGAGATATCTAAGTTGAAATATCAACTAGACAGTTAAATACAAGAGTGTGGGGCCAGGCACGGTGGCTCACGCCTGTAATCCCAACACTTTGGGAGGCCGAGGCGGGCGGATCACGAGGTCAGGAGATGGAGACCATCGTGGCTAACACGGTGAAACCCCATCTCTACTAAAAATACAAAAAAAAAAAAAAAAAAAAAAACATTAGCTGGGTGTTGTGGCGGGCGCCTGTAGTCCCAGCTACTCGGGAAGCTGAGGCAGGAGAATGGCGTGAACCCAGGAGGCGGAGTTTGCAGTGAGCCGAGATCGCACCACTGCACTCCAGCCTGGGAGACGGCGAGACCCCGTCTCAAAAAAAAAAAAAAAAAAAAAAGAGTGTGGAATTAAAAGAAAGGTCTGTTTAGACTGAAATATAATTTCAAGAATAACAATTATATAAGTAATTGCAACTCTGTAAGACAACAGAGGAGGCATATGGACGGAAAAGATGGCCCAGAAACAGGTCTAAAATCTACACTTTAGATGCCAGGCGAGGATGAGCCTGCAAAGGAAGCTGGAGTCTCTGTTTATTAACAAAGGTTTTGAGAAATTTGGTTATGAAGAAGAGATGGTACAGTAGCCTTAAGAAGTGTAAGGCAAACGGAGAGGGTGCTCTTTGTTTTCTTTTTGAGGAAAGACAATATAGCATGTTTAAGAGCTGATGGGAATGTGTCAGTAGAGAGAGAAAAAGGTTTAAAGATACACAAGAAAAGGCCTGGTGCAGTGGCTCACTCCTGTAGACCCAGCACTTTGGGAGGCCGAGGTGGGCAAATCACTTGAGCTCAGGAGTTCAAGACCAACCTAGGCACCATGGCAAAACCCCATCTCTACTAAAAATTTAAAAACTTAGCCAGGAGTGGTGGCATGTGCCTATGATCCCAGCTACTCGGGAGGCTGAGGTGGGAGGCTCACTTCAGCCCAGGAGGCGGAGGTTGCAGTGAGCCATGACTGCTCCACTGCACTCCAGCCTGGGTGACAGAGACAGACCCTGTCTCAAAAAAAGGTATACAAGAAAGACAGAAAATATTCAATAGCATAAGTTTCCAAGAAGGCCAAAATACACGGGATCCAGGACCCATGTGAAGGGTTTAGCCCCTCCTCTCCACGATGGTGTCTAGGTAAACTGTTTGTGTGTCTGTAGGACAGTGGTTGAGGAAACACTCTTGGAGCCACACAGCATCCTCTAAATTCTCAGTTTTCTGGCTCACTGTGTTAAGATTAGTCTGGACTTATCAATAAATTGTTAGCCACTAAAGTACAACTGGTTCTGTGTAGTCTTTTTTTCCCCCATGGATCTGTTAATGTTTATTTATTAGTACTAGCATCTTCCTTTGTTCTCTGTGTTAAAGCAAAGAAAGAAGAGGGTTTTGTCATATAATCTGATTTTAGCTTGACTTGGGAAACTTGAGATTGTCATTTAATATATCTTCTTGCTTTAAGAAATAAATTCCTTGTGTTTACAATTAATTGATCACAACCAGCTATGGATTTCTTTGTTCCTTCGCCACTCCCACTGCTTTACTTGACAAGAAAAAAAGAAACAAAGAAATTCCTTGAAAATGAGGAATACAAACTGCAGGGATAAAATATAAATCAAACAAAAGCATCTCAGCTAAACCTCTTTTTTTGTTTTCCAGATGCTACTATCCTTCAAGATGGTAATTAATAAAAGAGAGAAAAATGCCTAAACACCAACTGATGTTTTCTTGTCAAATCTGTTTCATCAGACCCAAGGGATATGGCAGGAGATGGTATTCTACAAAATAATTCGGATTCTCTTTCTAAAGACTTGAATTGTTTCAGGAAAAATAAACGAATTCACAAATCAGTAATAATGCACTTGTAGGACTAACTATGAGCTGCCATCACTCTGTAAATGAATAAAACATAGCGGCATCTACTTCTAAAACTAGTGCCAAATACACCACTAATAACTCCTCGATGATGCAGGGAATCAGTGCTGGTAATTAACATAAATTAATGAAGGAAGTTGAAAAGTTCAGAAGAAGTATTAAAAGAACACCTATCGGGGCGGGGCACGGTGGCTCATGCCTGTAATCCCAACACTTTGGGAGGCTGAGGCAGGAATTGCTTGTGCCCAGGAGTACCAGACCAGCACCAGCCTGGGGAATATAGTGAGACCATATGTCTACAAAAAAATTAAAAATCATCTGGATTATTAAAAAATAAATAAATAAAAAACAGATGCTGGTAAGGCTGTGGAGAAAAGAGAACACTTAAACACTTGTTTTTTGTTTTTCATTTTTTTGAAACAGAGTCTCACTTTGTTGCCCAAGCTGGAGTGCAGTGGCACAATCTCAGCTCACTGCAACCTTGCCTCCTGGGTTCAAGCAATTCTCGTGCGCCTGCCTACTGAGTAGCTGGGATTACAGGCAAGCACCACAACACCTGGCTAATTTTTGTATTTTTAGTAGAGATGGGGTTTTGCCACTTTAGCCAGGTTGGTCTCAAACTCCTGGCCTCGTGTGATCCACCTGCCTTGGCCTCCCAAAGTGCTGGGATTAGAGGCGTGAGCCACTGCTCCTGGCCACTTATACACTGTTGGTGGGAATGTAAATTAGTTCAACCATTGTGGAAAACAGTGTGGTGATTCCTCAAAGACCTAAAAACAGAACTATCATTTGACCAGCAATCCCATTACTTGGTATATGCCCAAGAGAATATAAATCATTCTAACCTAAAGACACATGCACATGTATATTTACTGCAGCACTATTCACAATAGCAAAAGCTGAAATGCCCATCAATGGTAGAATGCATAAAGAAAATGTACCTATACACCATGGAATACTATGCATGCGGCCATAAAAAGAACAAAATCATGTCCTCAGCAGGAACATGGATGGAGCTGGAGGCCATCATCCTTAGCAAACTAACACAGGAAAAGAAAACCAAATACTGCAGGTTCTTGCTTAAAGGGGGAGCTAAATGATGAGAACACATGGACACATAAAGAGGGACAACAGACACTGGGGCCTCCTTGAGGGTGGAGGTTGGAAGGAGGGAGAGGATCAGGAAATATAACTGTTGGATACTAGACTTAATATGTGGATGACAAAATAATCTATACAACAAACCCACATCACATGAGTTTACCTATATAAAAAACCTGCACACGTATCCCTGAACCTAAAATAAAAATTTTAAAACTAAAAATGAGCTGGGCATGGTGGCACATGCCTATAGCCCCAGCTACTCAGGAGGCTGATGGGGGAGGATCACTTGAGCCCGGGAAATCAAGGCTCCAGTGAGCCATGATCATGCCACTGCACTCCAGCCTGGGCAACAGAGTGAGGCCCTGTCTCAAAAAGAATAATAATTTTTAAAATTTTTTTTTTAAAAATGCTGGGCGCAGTGGCTCACGCCTGTAATCCCAGCACTTTGGGAGGCCAAGGCAGGTGGATCACTTGAGGTCAGGAGTTCAAAATCAGTCTGGCCATCATGGCAAAACCTCATCTCTACTAAAAAGACAAAAAAATTAGCCGGGAATGGGGGCGTGTGCCTGTAATCGCAGCTACTTAGGAGGCTGAGGTAGGAGAATCACTTGAGCCCAGGAGGTGGAGGTTGGAGTGGGCTGAGATCACATCACTGCACTCCAGCCTTGGCGACAGAGTGAGACTCCATCTCAAAAAAAATAAATAAATAAAATTTAAAAATAAAATACACTTACCAATAAAACAATGGCAAGTTGCTGTGACTCTATTACTTAGGACAGGAGAGACACATCATTTGACAGAATTAGATTTCACATACTTTAGGATGCTACCTGTTTTGCTTGAACTACCCAACATAAATATAAGGGAAATAATAAAAATATAAGAGCAGAAATAAATGAAATGGAGGCTAGAAAAACAATACAAAAGATCAATGAAACAAAGAGCTGGTTTTTTAAAAAACACAAAATTGACAAACCTTTAGCTAGACAAAAAGAGGGAAGACTCGAATAAAGAAAATCAGAGATGGAAAAGGAGCTATTACAATGGAAATACTAAGGATCGTAATATTATGAACAACTATAGGTCAACCAACTCAATAACATAAAAAAAGAGATAAATTCCTAACACATACAATCCAAGATAAAAGTCTCCCATCAAAGCAAAGCCCAGGACCTGACAGCTTCACTGCTGAACTCTAAAAAGCAATTAAAGAACTAGTACTAATTCTTCTCAAACTATTCCAAAAAATGGAAGAGGAGGGAATACTTCCAAACTCATTCAAAAAAGCCAGCATTATTCTGACAGCAAAACCAGACAGACACAATAAAAGAAGAAAATTACAGACAAATATCCCTGATTAACATAGAGGCAAAAATCCTCAACAAAATATTTGTAAACCAAATTCAGCAGCACATCAAAAAGAGCACTCACCAGTACTTGCAGAGGCCAAGGTGGGCAGATCGCTTGAGCCCAGGAGTTCACGACCAGCCTGGGCAACATGGCGAAACCCCGTTTCTACTAAAATTACAAAAATTAGGCGGGCGTGGTGGCACATGCCTGTAGTCCCAACTACTCAGAAGGCTGGGTTGGGAGGATCACTTAAGCCCAGGAGGTGGAAGTTGCAGTGAGCCATGATCTCACCACTGCACTCCAGCCTGGGCAACAGAACAAGACTCTGTCTTAAAAAAAAAAAAAAAAGATAATTCACCATGATGGAGTGGGATTCATCCCAGGGACGCAAAGATGGTTTAACATAAGTAAATCAGTAAACATGATACATCACATTAACAGAATGAAAAACAAAAAATATATGATCATTTCTATAGATGCAGAAAAAGGCATTTGACAAAATTCAATATGCCTTTTTAAAAACATTTACAGTTCAGACATGGTAGCTCACATCTGTAATCCCAGAACTCTGGGAGGTTGAGGCGGGCAAATCGCTTGGGCTCAGGAGTTCAAGACCAGCCTGGGCAACATGGTGAAACCCCATCTCCACAAAATATACAAAAATTAGCCAGGTATGGTGGCACATGCCTGTAATCCCAGCTACTTGACAGGCTGAGGCAGGAGAATCACTTGAACCCAGGAGGCAGAGGTTGCAGTGGGCCAAGATCACACCACTGCACTCCAGCCTGGGTGACAGAGTGAGACTCTGTCTCCAAAAAAAGGAAAAAAAATTAATAACAATAATAATAACAAATAAAAATTAACAGGGCTGGGTGTGGTGGCTCATGTCTGTAATTCAACATTTTGGGAGGCTGAGGTGGAAGGGTTGCTTGGGGTCAGGAGTTTAAGACCAGACTAGACAACAAAGCAAGACATTACCACTGGAAAAACTTTAAAAATTAGCCGGGCATGGTGGTACATGCCTGGAGTCCTAGGTACTTAGGAGGCTAAGGCAGGAGGATCACCTAAGCCAAGGAGTTGGAGGCTACAGTGAACTATGATCATACCACTGTACTCCAGCCTGGCCAACAAGACTGTGCCTTCAGTCATTAAGCCTCTGTACATGGTAGCCTTTTCACGCTAAACCCAGGCTACTGCCTACCCACTGGCCCATTCAGTACCTCCACATTCCATCACTAGAGCAAAAGAGAACTTCTGGATCCCCAGCATGACAAGCACATGCCATGAAGAACTCAGAGTTGCCATATGTGGCCAGTCTCCTTGGCCACTCACTGGAGAGGCCTCTCTGCTGTTAGCCACCTGCTTTCCACAATCACTCTCATCTATCTGACACACCTCCCAAACAGAGGAGGTCTCACCAACGACTTCTTCAATCTTGGTCTTCTTCCATTCCACAATTCCCCTTGGCCGAAAAAGGCCCAAACTTATTATAAATCTTACTACCTAGCAGTCAAGGCATGGTGTTAATATGTCAACAAAAGCTAAAGGGATTTTTTAAATGGCTGAAACCAGGCTGAGAAGGCAAAGTACAACATAAGCCTGGAACATTTTGTTGGACTGGAACATTTTGTCATTCCAGAGAGTAAGAAAGTGTTCCTAAAAATTATGGAGGTAGATCAAATACAGAAGCCAGCTTGAAGGGGCTCCCATGAGTCAAATCAGTGACAATTTCAGCATCAAAATAAATAAGAACAATAATGGAACAAATAGGAACCAATGGAACAAATAGGAACCCATGAGTCCATACTAATAATAAATAGATACATAAATAAATAGAGGAGAAGGTAAGGCTCCTCCTTAGAAGAAAATAAAGACATAAATGTGGAGGGAACCATAAATAATGATTCAGGTAAGAACCAATCAATAATAGATGTTAACTCTATGGAGGAAAAAAAACTGACGAGGAATAGACATTTGCATGGTCTCAAAGTGTCTCCCCACAGACTGGCTCATTAGTTACAAGGGGAAAAACAGTAACTACTCACCCAAGGCTGTATCTTAACCAAGTGATTAAAACTTCACCAACTAGGAGCAGATGGACATTGTGTGCTTCCTGGTGTGATATCCTCAGAACAACACAGTATCACACATACACTACATAAATACTGTCTTATGTAATACTCTGGCTGGGGTTGAAAAATTCAAGTCTAATCATGAGAAAACATCAGACAAATCTAATTCGGTTTTTTTATTCTATAAAATAACTGACTTGCATTCTTCAAAAATATTAATATCATAAAAGATGAGAAAAGGCTGAGGAACTACTCCAGATTAATGGAGACTAAAGAGACATGACAACTACATGTATTAATATATAATCCAGCTGGACACAGTGGCTCATGCCTGTAATCCCAGCACTTTGGGAGGTCGAGGCGGGAGGATCACCTGAGGTCAGGAGTTCGAGACTAGCCTGGTCATCATGGCAAAACCCTGTCTCTGCTAAAAATACAAAAAATAATTAGCTGGGTGTAGTGGCACACACGTGTAATCCCAGCTACTCAGGAGGCCGAGGCAGGAGAATCGCTTGAACGTGGAAGGCGGAGGTTGCAGTGCCCAAGATCACACCACTGCATTCCAGCCTAGGAGACAGAGCAAGAATCTGTCTAAAAATAAAAAAAAATTAAAAAAAAAAATATATATATATATAATATATACACATACATACACTATATATACACACTATATATATACACACACACTATACATTGTGTATATATACACACACTATATATATACACACTATATATATAGTGTATGTATGTGTATATATACAGTGCATATGTGTGTATATATATAGTGCATATGTATGTGCATATATATATACATACACACAAAAAAAATCCTACACTGGATCTTGGACTAAAGGAAAAAAATGCAACAAAGGACATTATTGCAACATCGACAAAATTGGAAAAATGAACTAGAGATCAAAAGTACTGTGTGAATGTTAAGTATTTTGGATTTGACTAAGTGTAGAATGGTTATATAAGAGAATATCCTTGTTCTTAGGAAATGTACACTAAAGTGGTAAGGAAAGAGACATTAGGTATGCAGCCTACCCTCAAATAGTTAAGAAAAATAAATAATATTTATGTATGTGTGTTGTGTGTGGGGGGTGGTGTGTATAGAGAGGAAATAAATAAATATGATAAAGCCAATAGAGCAAATGTTAAAATTTGTTTACTTAGATAAAAGGCATGTAAGGGTTGTCTGTACTATTCTTCCAACTTTTCTGTAATTTTAAAATTATTCCAAAATAAAGCTTTTTAAAAGCAGTTTGACCAATTTTAAAAGATGTTTTAATTTTTTTAATTTTTATTTATTTTTTTAGAGATGGGGTCTTGCTGTCCCCCAGGCTGAAGTGCGGCTGTATGATCATGGCTCACTGCAGCCTCCAACTCCTGGGCTCAAGTGATCCTCCTGCCTAAGCCTCCTAAGTAGCAGGGACTACAGGCACATGCCACTACTCCCAGTTAATTCTGTTTTTTTGTAGAGACAGGGTCTTGCCATGTTGCCCAGCCTGGTCTCAAAATCCTGGCCTCAACTGATTCCCCATCCTTGGCCTCCCAAAGTGCTGGGATTACAGGTGTGAGCCACCATGCCTGGCCCCATATTTTAAAATAAGACTGCATTAACCTGTCATCTTTAATTTCAACCATATAAGCAAGGTAACAAAATAAACTTTCCAGTGAAGAAGATCTAAAAATTAATGTGATATAAAGCATAGATAAACATTTTATGAGAGGATTAAAACTTCAACTAGCACAGCAATTATGCACTGGCGCTCTGCTTACTGTTCCACTCGGATTTCATTTTGGGCTCATCAGGGATCCCCTGAGTAAGATTAAAACACTTTATATCTTATCTATAAATAGATCATTACATTTGCATAGAAAGAAGTTTGATAAAAATGTAGAAAGACTACTTCTTAAGTTAACTAGGCTAAAAACTATGCAGGTACCAAATTTGGCTCCTAATCTCAGTGGCTTTTAAAAGCTAATTAGCAGGAAGCACAACCCAAATATAGAAAGTGAAGACAATCAGTCCAATCTTGGGGAACAAAAACCTAAAGTAGGTGTTACTTGTGATGTATTATGCTCTGAATAAGTCCATTAAAAGCATGTAAGCATTCAACCAAAATATTTGATTTTAATTTTTCAATGATTCCAGATGTTCTTTAAGTTGAAAAAAAACAAAAAAAAGGAAAAATGAAAACCAAAGGTTAAATAGGCAACACTCCAGCACAAGCCACAAGGGGCCTCAGAAAAACACACACACCACACTCCTACAAATCCACCCGCCTAGCACCCATACAGAACGTGCCATAGGTAATTATGATCATCAGAGGCTTTTGATCTTGTGGAAGAAGAAAAAAAAGAAAACAGAAAAGTGACAGGCAGCCCTTTTTGCAATTTAATGAGTGGAATATGCTTCTACAATAGCTGGAAGCACCTTTTACTATGTTGTTTTTTGTTGTCATTGTTTTTCGCTATACCTGCTAGATTAGAATTTTATTTTGTTTTTAAATTTTTAATCAAAGCAATATATACCATATGGTTAAAATGGCAAATAGGCTGGGCATAGTGGCTCATGACTGTAGCCCCAGCACTTTGGGAGGCCAAGACGGGCAGATCAGTTGGGCACAGGAGTTTGAGACCAGCCTAGGCAACAGAGTGAGACCCTGTCCCTACAAAAAACAGAAAAACTTAGCTGGGCATGCTGGCATGCGCCTGTAGTCCCAGCTACTGGGGAGGCTGATAGGGGAGGATCGCTTAATCTCGGGAGGTCAAGGCTACCCCGAGCCATGATCACACTACTGCACTCCAGCCTGGGTGACAGAGCAAGATCCTGTCTCCAAAAAAAAGTCAAACAGAAAAAACAAAAAGCTTCCTTCTCCTGCTCCCCAAGGCAATCATATCTAACTATTTCATTTCAGGGAGTCTCCCGCAGTTACTCTCAAATTTCTTTTTTTTTTTTTTTTTTTTTTGAGACAGAGTCTCACTCTGTCACTGAAGCTGGACTGCAGTGGAGCAATCTCAGCTCACTGCAACCTGTGCCTCCCGGGTTCAAGTGATTCTCCTGCTCAGCCTCCCAAGTAGCTGGGATTACAGGCACATGCCACCACACCCAGCTGATTTTTGTATTTTTAGTAGAGACTGGGTTTCACCATGTTGGCCAGGCTAGTCTTGAACTCCTGACCTCAGGTGATCCACCTGCCTCGGCCTCCCAAAGTGCTGGGATTACAGGCATGAGTCACTGCACCCGGCCTAATGAATCTTTTTCATTCCCTCATTTGGTAGGTATCTTAATGTTTTAGTTTATCTTTTTACATGGCTTAGGTTCTGGCAATACGAGAAACTATTAAGTTAACTGGTTCTACATCTTGGAGATAAATAGCACTTCAGCAGTTTGAGTTCAGAATATATTTAGAGTAAACCTGATTTATTATGTTATTATTCATTTTATGTTATATATTTTGAAATTCAAAAAAAATGCCTTGATTCCTTATTACTTTTGCTAAGTATTCTGCTCATCTCAGAGAAGAAAGTGTTTTTGGACTAGCTCTGTAAATTACCACTCTAGGCTTGTTTCAGAACCATTTTTCTAAAAACATTATTTTATAAGGTCAGTTGCTTCTAGCTAGGAATATTACTGATTTTCTAATAGGCCTTGTTGGGTTTCAAAAACACTTTTTAATGTGCTAAAATTGCCCCCCACCACCATAGCAGACAGACAACTACCCAGCTATGCACTGGTGATCTAAAAGCCATTTATGACATATTGTTATTATTATGACTTACTGTTATTACAGTATAAGAGAAGAGGCGGAACACATATGCCTCAATCCCTTCAGAGTTTGTTTTTTGGGGCGAGGGGGTACCACTCCTCCATGACTTAAGTTTTAAAGAGGTATGCTCTGCCCCTCAGGGGAAAGCCTGCAGGTGTACTTGTCCAGCATTCCCATGAGACCAAATGAGGTTTGTCTTTGTTGCCAAATTTTGCAGCAGCCGATTGTTGCCATCTACCCAAGCCACTTTTCAAATGCTCCATCACTAATAAAGCTGAAATTGTAATTTTCAAAAGATAACAAAAAAATCTGCTAGGCCATTTAAATTCACCATACATAATACCTACCAAAAGTTATTAACAATTTATTTTTAATCTAATCCTATAACATGCTTACTAATAGTTAACATCTAAATAAATTAATTGGAACAGGATTCAAAATGTTCTAATTCTACATCGGAGTGTTTTCAGCTTTTACCTAAACTTTGAAGTCTGTAGTCTTATCCCTCACAGATAAGACAGGCATTCAGTTTTAAACAGTTCTTATAGAAATTTAGAAGTGGGCCGGGCGCGGTGGCTCATGCCTTTAATGCAAGCACTTTGCGGGGCCAAGGCGGGTGGATCATGAGATCAGGAGATCGAGACCATCCTGGCTAACACGGTGAAATCCTGTCTCTACCAAAAATACAAAAAATTAGCTGGGCGTGGTGGCACGTGCCTATAGTCCCAGCTACTCAGGAGGCTGAGGCAGGAGAATCGCTTGAACCCGGGAGGCAGAAGTTGCAGTGGGCCAAGATTGAGCCACTGCACTCCAACCTGGACAACAGGGCAAGACTCCCCTCTCAAAAAAAAAAAAAAAAAAAAAAGAAATGCAGGAGTAATGAGGTTTCACTACTTGTTTTTAAACTGACACTAAACAATTATTAACATCAAATAAATTCTATGTATAGAAATACAAAATATAAGGATTGAGTTTTTAATCTCTACTATATATAAAATAGGACTCTAACAATTACTGCAGAGGTCAGCAACTCCAAGGTTTATGGAAGGAAAAGGGGAGACAGGAGACAGAGGGCGTGGTATTGTCTGCAGGTCATTCTCTGGCTTTCTTTCCAGTATCTCCCTTTCTCCTTCCCTCCCACTTTCCAAGAAGTTGCTACTGTATGAGGAAATTCTGTCAAGTAGCAGGAAGGGGAAGGCTTTGAGCCTTGTAGCTAGGACTGGTAAGAACTAAGAAAATTGGTCCTATCTGTGCTATCAGATTAAGGAGGGTGTCGCCTCTGGTACTTTTGGCAAAGATGGTCAAATCCCCAACTACAACCTCACAGTGATTTGTGGCGCATTAAAAAGTTTGTACTTGGTCGGGCGCGGTGGCTCACATCTGTAATCCCAGCACTTTGAGATGCTGAGGTAGGTGGATCACCTGTGGCCAGGAGTTCGTGACCACCCTGACCAACATGGCAAAACCCCATCCCTATCAAACCCCTGTCGACTAAAACACAAAAAATTAGCCAGGCATGGTGGCAGGCGCCTGTAATCCCAGCTACTTGGGAGACTGAGGGAGAACTGCTTGAACCCGGAAGAGGAGGTTGCAGTGAGCCGAGAGCCCACCACTGCATTCCAGCCTGGGCAACACAGCGAGAGACTGTCTCAGAAAAAAAAAAAAAAAAAAGTTTGTACTTTTTGGCCGGCAGCCATGGCTCACACCTGTAATCACAGCACTTTGGGAGGCTGAGGTAGGTGGATCATTTGAGGTCGGGAATTCGAGACCAGCCTGGCCAACATGGTGAAACACCACCTCTACTAAAAATACAAAAAAAAATAGCCGGGCATGATGGCGCGTGCCTGTAGTCCCAGCTACTCGGGAAACTGAGGCAAGAGGATCGCTTGAACCAGGGAGGCAGAGGTTGCATTGAGTCGAGATCACACCACTGCACTCCAGCCTGAGCGACAGAGCAAGACTCTGTCTCATTGTATTGCCCAGAGTGGAGACCAGTGGCACAATCTCGGCTCACTGCAACCTCCACCTCCTAGGCTCAAGCAATCCTCCCGCCTCAGCCTCCCGAGTAGCTGAGACTACAGGCATGCACCAACACACCAGGCTAATTTTTCATATTTTTGGTAGAGACAGGGTTTCACCATTAGCTCAGGCTGATCTCAAACTCCTGAGCTCAAGCAATTCACCCACCCTGGCCACCAAAAGTGCTAGTATTACAGGCGTGAGCCACCACGTCCAGCCAAGTTTTTACTTTGAAGCAATAGCTAAAATAGATTTTATTCACACTCAAAGCAAAGGTTATAAGCTATCTAGATTTTGTTATTCTATGACAGGTAATATAGAAATACAGTTCAGAAAGATAATGACAGTATATGATCCTAAAGCTATTTTTCTTTCACTTTACCAACAAATTGTAATGTTCATTCTAATGAATATGGACATTTTATTCTATAATTACACATCAAAGTATACAGTGTACTCTATATTTTAAAAATATCTAGGTAATTCTAATGGAGTACTTCCTACGAACTCCTCTAAACATTGCAAACGTACCATCATCGTCACTGTTTTACAGTTAAGGAAACTGAGATGCAGAGGTTAAATTACTTGCCCAATGTCACAAAGTTAGTAAGTCTCAGATTCAGGATTTAAACTGGCTCCACGGGCCAGTCCAATCCACGCCTCTATGCCTCTCGGGCTTTAATAGGCATGCACATCACCTGGAGATCTTGTTAAAATGTAGATTCTGAGTTAAGTTGGTCTAAGACTGGGCCTGAGATTTTACATTTCCAAAATCATTTAGTTACACTGATGCTGCTGGTCCACAGACTGTATTTTAAGTAACAAGACTGTAAACCACTTTGCCCTGCTACCCAACTAAGCATCAAGAAAGGGGTGATATTTAACTCAGATCCTAACAATCTAAGCAAAGAGGCAATTATATCTGCAATTCAAATACAGAACCAAGGGGCTGCTTTCAACCTATATGAAGACTTTCAATTTACAATAAAATTCAAGACCCAACTAAAAAGAACTTGATTTGTTCAATGTCCTTATTTTTCTAGTCTAAGGACAAAAGCCTATTTCTTCCTGTCCCCATACAAACACAGAGAAGAAAACAACTTTTTCTTTTTTGCAGACAAGCTTTTCCAGTTGGCATTTGACTAAAAATTACATGTAAAAACAAATACATCAAGTAAGACACAAAACTCTTGACTATTCAATTATCAAATACGTCACAAAAACCTGTAAAAGACAGCTTGTCTCTGGAACACTCTAGCTCAGCAACTTTTTAAAGGAGGGATTAGAGAAAGAAATTGTTCCAACTAGTCATGCTTCTCTATTGAAAACAACATGATTCAGACCTGACATTTAAAGACATCTCTGATGTGAATTGAAACCAATTTTCTTCTTTCAATCTAGACCAAAATTAAAATGTTTAATTCCTATTAAACTTAAACCTCATTTCTCTTTCTCAAATTCAAGCTATTTCTAAAAACTTTCTTGCACACTCCCTTTTAAGGACTATTCAGAGTTTTCTTTGTGTATGCATCCTATTTTCCCACCTTATAAGATACTTAGATAAATATAATCAATGAATTTGTTAGGTTTTAAAATTAACATTTAGTCTTACTGATACCTAATTACTATAATAGCTTTCTCCAACGGGTACCATGATGTCAGAAAAAAACACACATACATACTAAAATCATCTCTTAACACGACTATATTCTAACACTGTTTTTGAAAACCTAGAGAAACTACCTGAGACAAGTTTAGAAGGGAAATATCATTTATAGCACACCTACCTGAAAGTAGGTGCAGGCTTTGCAATTAGGCAGACCTGGGTTTACATTCACCTTTAGTGACTGTGTGACCTACGGGCAGATTTATCTAAACTTACTATGTCATAGTTCTTTGTTTTACATGTAGTAAATTCAATTACATAGTTACAGCAATAGATATTATAGAACCATTTTTATAAAAGGGAAAATTAAAGCTCATGGAATTTACACAACTTATTGAATCACCTAGTAACTGGAAAAATCAGAATTTGAGTCCAGCTCTATCAGACTCCAATGCCCAGGGCTTCTCCTGTGAGCCATATACGGCCTGTGGAGTTACTGACTGCTTAACTGAGGTAACAAGTATTTCCCACACTCTCAGAATGAATCTGTAATTTAAAGAAGCCTATAACTCTACTGCAGCACAAAAGCCACCTGCGTCTACACTACTGGTACTAAGACAACCAACTATTAAATATCAACTAGCTAGGAAATAAACATAAAAGTCAGTCTCAGCTAACCCAAGAAATATTAATACATATGTAGATAAGGGCAAAGATGACTGAGAGAATTTGCTTCTAAGGTCCTCCCAGTCTTCATACTAACAAACATCTGTTGAGGACCTACTGAGAACATATGTGGCTAGGTACCCAGTTACATTTTACCTAACATTATGACACGATCAAGACTAAAGACCAAAACAATTTAAAAAAATTAACTAACCTAACCTAAACCACAATAAGAGTTTCTACAACTGATGCTTTAAATGATAGGAGATTTCACTGCATCTTTGGACAGTCACCTAAAAGTAGAAGTAAATACTAAGGATACTCTGTGTAACAGAGTCAGGAGGTGAGAAAGCACTGGTCTATGCACACATAAGTGCTCATATATGCACACCTGTCCTCTGTCCTGGAGCTGGTACATAAGTGCTCATATATGCACACCTGTCCTCTGTCCTGGAGCTGGTACATAAGTGCTCATATATGCACACCTGTCCTCTGTCCTGGAGCTGGTACATAGGTGCTCATATATGCACACCTGTCCTCTGTCCTGGAGCTGGTACATAAGTGCTCATATATGCACACCTGTCCTCTGTCCTGGAGCTGGTACATAAGTGCTCATATATGCACACCTGTCCTCTGTCCTGGAGCTGGTACGTAAGTGCTCATATATGTACATCTGTCCTCCGTCCTGGAGCTGGTACGTAAGTGCTCATATATGCACACCTGTCCTCCGTCCTGGAGCTGGTACGTAAGTGCTCATATATGCACACCTGTCCTCCATCTGGAGCTGGTACGTAAGTGCTCATATATGTACACCTGTCCTCCGTCCTGGAGCTGGTACATAAGTGCTCATATATGCACACCTGTCCTCCGTCCTGGAGCTGGTACATAAGTGCTCATATATGCACACCTGTCCTCCGTCCTGGAGCTGGTACATAAGTGCTCGTATATGTACACCTGTCCTCCGTCCTGGAGCTGGTACATAAGTGCTCATATATGCACACCTGTCCTCTGTCCTGGAGCTGATACATAAGTGCTCATATATGTACACCTGTCCTCTGTCCTGGAGCTGATACATAAGTGCTCATATATGCACACCTGTCCTCTGTCCTGGAGCTGGTACATAAGTGCTCATATATGTACACCTGTCCTCTGTCCTGGAGCTGGTACACAAGTGCTCATATATGTAAACCTGTCCTCTGTCCCGGAGCTAGTGCATTAAGTGCTCATATAGTTACACCTGTCCTCTGTCCTGGAGCTGGTACAAGATCATGGTTCATACTCCAGGAATGAGGGCTAGAAGACCTGGTTCCAGATCCAGCTCTGTCACTCACAGCTGTGTGACCTGGGTCAAGTAACCTCTTTAAGCCTCAGTCACTTTAACTGCCAAATGAGTATAAAAATAGCACTTAATTTACGAGGTTGTTCATTTAATACACTTTTGTTGAGATTACATCTTGCCACTGGCATCCTGCTAGGCATTGTGGATTAGGTGTTAAAATGCACGTGATGTGTTTGGCATGTGTCAAAAAGCGGGATTTTTTTTTTTTTTTTTTTTTTTGAGACAGGGTCTTGCTCTGCCACCCACGCTGGAGTGCAGTGGCGCAATCTCAGCTCATTGCAACCTCTGCCTCCTAGACTCAAGTGATCCTCCCACCTCAGCCTCCCAAGTAGCTGGAACTACAGGTGTGTGCCACCACACTCAGCTAGTTTTTAAAATTTTTGTAGAGCCAAGGTCTCAATATATTGCCCAGGCTGGTCGTGAACTCCTGGGCTCAAGCAATCCTCCCACCTCAGCCTCCCAAAATGCTAGGATTACAGGCTTGAGTCACGGCACCCAGCCCAGAGCAGGGATTTTTGTCTGTTGTGGTTCTCTGCTGTATCTTCAGTACCAACAACAGTGGCTGGCACGTAAAGTCTCACATTAAATATCTGCTGTATCTTCAGTACCAACAACAGTGGCATGTAAAGTCTCACATTAAATATCGCAACAAATACTGAAAAAATTGTTTAGCATCAGGTGGGTCAGAAACTACTCCCCCGACCCTTGTTTGGATTCAGCCTGTGTATTTTTAGGTATCACTAAAAGAAGTTCAAGGATCTTTTTTTAATTTCTTTTTAGTTTTTATAACAGCTTCATAGAGCTATAATTTGCAAACAATAAAAGTAACCCACTTAAAGTGTACAATGCAACCATTTTACATTCACAGAGTTGTGTCTGCCTTGTTTTAAAGACAGGGTCTCACACCATGTTGACCATCCTGGCCTCAAGTGATCCTCCTGCCTTGGCCTCCCAAAGCGTTGGGATTACAGGAGTGAGCCAACACACCCAGGCTCTTTCATTTTAAAAAGAGAAGTCGGGCTCCTGAGACTCCATGTGTGAGTTTCTGTCACACGTATTTAAAGTACTTTTAATTGAACATTTTCTGTAACAAAACACTAAAACATACAAAGAAGTAAAGCATAATGCACTCTCATGTACTCATCAACCAATTTCCATAATTATCAACTTTTTTTTACTATATTAAAATGTTTCAAATACCTTAGAAGGTTAGATTAACAAACACCTCTCTATTCAGACACATCTAGTTCCTATTCCGAGAGAAAGGGGAAAAGATATAACTACATTATCTGACACAACGGTGGCTCTTACGTCTGCTCCCTTACAAAATGTCACTGTACAGCAAAAATAATTTTTACCAGCAATGAGTATCCATAGAAAACATAGTAATCAATCCCCCATTCCCTTCCACTATGCTATTTTGGGTCCTTCTGACAAAATGAAAGTAAATCTCAATGCAATTATCCAAGTTACCTTTTTTCAAAAGATCTTTTTTTTTTCTTTTTTGAGACAGAGTCTTGCTCTGTCACCCAGGCTGAATGGAGTACAGTGGTGCAATCTCGGCTCACTGCAACCTCAGCCTCCCAGGTTCAAGCGATTCTCCTGCCTCAGCCTCTCAAGCAGCTGGGATTACAGGCGTGTGCCACCACACCCAGCTAATTTTTTGTATTTTTAGTAGAGACAGGGTATCACAATATTGGCCAGGCTGATCTCAAACTCCTGGCCTCAAGTGATCCGTCCACCTTGGCTTCCCAAAGTGCTGGGATTACAGCCACTGTGCCCATCCAAAAGATCTCTTTAGATCTCAAGTTCTATAATAACTAACAGAGAAAGAGCAATACACATAGACTATAGATGTAATTAATCTGTTCCAAATACCTTCAATATGCCATCTTCCTTCTGCAGATCTGTAATGGTTGATTTCACATGTAAACATGACTGGGCCACAAGATGCCCAGATATGTGGTTAAACATTATTTTTTGGTGTGTCTATGAGGGTTTTTCTGGAAAAAAAAATAGCATTTGAATTGGTGAACTGAGGAAAGCAGATTGCCCTTTTAAATGTTAGTAGATATCATCCAACCTGTGAGGGCCCAATTAGAACAAAAGAATGGAGAAAGGGTGAATTCTCTCTCTCTCTCTCTGATTACTTGAGCTGAGACATCAGTCTTCTCTTGCTCTTGGACTGAGACCTAAACCATCAATCCTCCTGGTTCTCAGGCCATTGGACTCCACTTTCCTGGGTCTCTAACTTGCAGAGAACGGATCATGGGACTTCTCAGGCTCCATATATATATATATACACATACATATATACATACATACATACACATATTCATATATGATCATATATATAATTATATATATAAACTCATATATGAGTATATATGATCATATATGATTATATATATATGAACTGATATGAGTATATATATGATCATATATGATTATGTGTATCCATAGAAGATATATATATATAGAGAGAGAGAGATCGATCGATCGATCAATACTCTACTGGTTTCTCTGGAGAACCTTAATACAGGGGTTCAAAAAAATTCCATAACTTCTGGCTGGGTGTAATGGCTCACACTTGCAATCCCAGCACTTTGGGAGGCCAAAGCAGGAGGATCACTCGAGTCCTGGAGTTCAAGACCAGCCTGGGCAACATAATGAGACCCTTTCTCTACTAAAAATAAACAAAATTAGCCAGGAATGGTGGTGTACACCTGTAGTCCCAGCTACTGGGAAGGCTAAGGTAGGAGGGTCATTTAAGCCCAGGAGGTCAAGCCTGCAGTGAGCCATGATCATGCCACTGTACACCAGCCTGGGCAACAGAGCGAGACCCTGTCTCAGAAGCAAAAAAAAATTCCGTAACTTCTAACATCAAAGTGATCCTCAGTTTGCCATGAGAGGTAAAATGGTGGGTCAGCCCAGGGCATATAATCTTTACACTAATGGTTATCACCTAAGGGCAACATGCAGAAAGCCACAGCAGTGCTCCTTAGTGATAGGATCCTCAATGTTATAGATACATCCTCAATGTTACAGATGGTGGTACTTCTTACCCCCATATAAATTGATTTATCATGTGTCTACATCTATCACATACATAAGCATCATGTGGCACAAAGTGGTATTACCCCAGATTTTTTTTTTCCACAGTTACAATGGTTGACGAAAGCCACTCTGTCGCCTTTCCTGGCCTACGTCAGGGCCAAGTTCAAACCCTCTCCCTAACTGCAGATTAGCAGTCATGGTGGGCTCTCCACAGCTCTCACTCAGAGGTGCCAGTACACCTCCCTGCACATACAGCGGGATAAACAGCTAGGCAATCTCAGTCAAGTGCTTTCTTCTAAAGAAGGGCCAGCCCCTGAACTAAAAGACATATAATTTTGGCCAATAAAACTAAGGTAACAAGTTCCATATGTTTTATAAACATAAGATACGATAAAAAACACAAAGTGCTCCAGTTTCAGATACAGGGAAATCAAGGCCATATACTTCTCAGTAGGGGAAACGTCCAACAAGATCCTGGGAAACCAGCAGTTGGGGATAGAAAGAGGCAAACACTGCTCCACAGACAAGGGCAGACCAAGGAGCCTCTGATTCCCCAGAGTCTACAGTTATATGCAGATCTCTCAAGGGGATGAAACTAGTTAACCCAAATTTCAGGTTTCTTCTGACTTAGACCATATGTCCTTACAGCACCAGGTTGAGCTCATTGCCCCTCTCTTGAACCTAAACAAAGCCCAGCTGCAGACTTAGAAAGGATTTACTGTTCATAACAACAAAACTAATTTTCTACTGTACCCAGACGATCTCCTCTAAAAATGTTCCTTTTTAAGTGACCAAGTTAAAGGTAAAGGATGACTTCCCCCTCGATGATATGTATATTTCAATTGATGTGCCTGAACATTAAGAGTTAAGCTGTTGATAAGTCCTTGAAATCAGGCATTCTCATAAAACATTCACATTAATTCAAGCAAAACATTAAAGAGCATTACATAATGAGTCATACTAAAATGGCAATGAAAAGAACAACCATTAAGACACCCAGAGTATCAGTTTAGCTCCAGTTATCATTTATAGCATGAAAACATGTCTTGAGACTAACATCAAAACACTTACCTCAGCCCCCAGAAGTATCCTGTTCTTCCCCTTAAATACACAACATTTACCAAAAGCACTGTTTTACGCAAATACAAAAGGCTAATCTAAAAATGAAACTAAAAAAACTTATTTGGAAGAATATTCACTAAGCTATCTCTATTGCAGATGTAAAGCCTTAAAGGACCATTTAAGGGAAAGGGAAGGCTGTATAATTATGTAATAATGTTCTCTGATACAATTGTGGCTCTCACATAAGCTTTCTTAAAAGAGAAGAGCTATGAACAATTAAGATGGCATAGCACAGGAAAAAAAAATGACCAGCAATGAGCATTCACATTCTTTCTCCTCTCTCATCCTCTCTGCTTTTTGGGACCTTTCCAATAAAAGGAGAGCAAATCTAAATACAATCCAAGTCATTTTGTGGTTAATTCCAAATAATGTTCCATATTTTAATAAATCTACCATTGCTTTTTCACAATTGTAACAGATGCCACTCCCAACTCCTTAGATGTGAAACCTAAAAACATATCACTTCAACCAAAATACCTAAACTATTGTACTAGTTACACCTAAAAACACATCACTTCAACCAAAATACCTAAACCATTGCACTAGTTACACCTAAAAACACATCACTTCAACCAAAATACCTAAACCATTGTACTAGTTACACCTAAAAACACATCACTTCAACCAAAATACCTAAACCATTGCACTAGTTACACCTAAAAACACATCACTTCAACCAAAATACCTAAACCATTGCACTAGTTACACCTAAAAACACATCACTTCAACCAAAATACCTAAACCACTGCACTAGTTACACCTAAAAACACATCACTTCAACCAAAATACCTAAACCACTGCACTAGTTACACCTAAAAACACATCACTTCAACCAAAATACCTAAACCACTGCACTAGTTACACCTGAAAACACATCACTTCAACCAAAATACCTAAACCACTGCACTAGTTACACCTGAAAACACATCACTTCAACCAAAATACCTAAACCATTGCACTAGTTACACCTGAAAACACATCACTTCAACCAAAATACCTAAACCATTGCACTAGTTACACCTGAAAACACATCACTTCAACCAAAATACCTAAACCATTGCACTAGTTACACCTGAAAACACATCACTTCAACCAAAATACCTAAACCATTGCACTAGTTACACCTGAAAACACATCACTTCAACCAAAATACCTAAACCATTGCACTAGTTACACCTAAAAACACATCACTTCAACCAAAATACCTAAACCATTGCACTAGTTACACCTAAAAACACATCACTTCAACCAAAATACCTAAACCATTGCACTAGTTACACCTGAAAACACATCACTTCAACCAAAATACCTAAACCATTGTACTAGTTACACCTGAAAACACATCACTTCAACCAAAATACCTAAACTACTGCACTAGTTACACCTGAAAACACATCACTTCAACCAAAATACCTAAACTACTGCACTAGTTACACCTGAAAACACATCGCCTCAACCAAAATACCTAAACTACTGCACTAGTTACACCTGAAAACACATCGCCTCAACCAAAATACCTAAACTACTGCACTAGTTACACCTGAAAACACATCGCCTCAACCAAAATACCTAAACTACTGCACTAGTTACACCTGAAAACACATCGCCTCAACCAAAATACCTAAACTACTGCACTAGTTACACCTGAAAACACATGACTTCAACCAAAATACCTAAACTATTGCACTAGTTACACCTGAAAAGACATCACCTCAACCAAAATACCTAAACTATTGCACTAGTTACACCTGAAAACACATCACTTCAACCAAAATACCTAAACTACTGCACTAGTTACACCTGAAAACATATCACTTCAACCAAAATACCTAAACTATTGCACTAGTTACACACTACCAGAGTTTTATAGATAAAATCCTGTCTGTACATTTTTCCAATTTCCAAGATAAATATCATTTTATTATGAACTCACAGCATCACAGAATGTATAATTACTGTTGACATGTGAAAAGTTTCCAACAGGAATGAAAAGCTTCATTAATAATAAAGATCTAGCCAGATGCGGCGGCTCACACTTATAATTCCAACACTTTGGGAGGCTGATGCAAGAGGATCACTTGAGGCCAGGTGTTCAAGCCCAGCCTGGGCAATACAGTGAGACCCCCCCCCACATCTCTACAAAAAAAATTTTTTTTAAATAGCTGGGGGTGGTGGTTCGTGCCTGTAGTCCCAGCTATTTGGGCTGAGGTGGAAAGATTGCTTGAGCCCAGGAGTCCAAAGCTGTAGTGGGCTAGGATCACACCACTGCAGTCCAGCCTGGGCAACAGAGCAACACTCTGTCTCAAAATAATAATAAAAATAATAATAAAGATCATGGGCTCTGAGTGCAGACAGAATTAGCTACATAATTTGAGCAAGATATAACTTCTCTGAACTTCACTTTTCTTATCTGTAAAACAGGAATAATATAAAGAGAGACCTCAGAAGATTTTGCAAGACTAAATGAGATAATGCACACTAAAGCCCATGGACTCATTCCTGACAGAAAGCAAGTATTCCTTAAGTGTTGACCATCATCCTCCTCTATACTGAGTAAAATGTATCATTACTGCTTACTTATCAGTCACATATAATATCCCAGGCTTTACGCTGGATGCTGAACACTTTATCATAGATTATCTCATTTGTTCTTTTAACTAATCTTATAAGGTTGTTTTTATTATTGTTGTTAACCCCATTTTACCAATGGGAAAACTAAGGTTTAGCTAGTCAGTTTGCAGGTTCATGAAATTAGTAAACGGCATCATCAGAACCTGGACCAGAATCTATCTGACAACAAAGCTCCTTAACAGATATGACATAAGTATTAACAGGTTCAAATTCCTCTAGAATGGGTAATAATAGAAGATTCCATACCCAAGTATAGGTGATATTCATCTAATAACTACCTGAACTTCTGACCTTTTAGGCCAAAAGTGAAAAATTGAAACCCCACTCCAATTCTTGAATTGATATTTAATCTCTAAAATATTTATTTCAGGGATAAGTGTGAAGATTATAATACCTCACATTTATATAATGCTCTGGATTAAGTCATTTGCTCTTCACTAAAATCCTATGACACAGATAGGAATTATAACCCCATTTCATTCATTCTGTAGATGAAGAAAATGAAAATCAAAGAGATTAAGTGATTTGCCCAAGGTCACAAATCTAGCAAATGGAAGCAGCGCTCAAACCTAAGACTTACTTCTCCAAGTACAGTCCTATTTTTCAGTATACCATGTAGACAAACAGATGAATAATACTAATTAAAAAGTGATCTTCAAAAAAAGTAATCTCACCACCCCCAAAAAAACTAATTCACTCATCATACTCATTCTCATTGATGATCAAAGCAATGGTATAGTTCTCCAATATACAACATTTAAAGAAAGGAGATAAGACTTAGAGGAGCATAACACTGTTCAAAAAGGTAGGCCCATGGACATATAAGGAAAGCAAAAGATCCACTGGTCTCCAAGACAACAAAATAAATAAAATTACCCACCTATACTAATAGAAAATATGGTCTAGAACTATACTGAAGAATTTTGTTTAAATAAGAACAGTCAGAATGGGTAGACATTGACGGTACAAGACACAATACCTGCATCCAAGAGCTTCCAGAGGAGGTAAAAAAAGTATTTAATAATTACTGGTTCA